>NC_000001.11:234062909-234214424 GCF_000001405.40 Homo sapiens | reverse complement strand
GGGCCCGTGGCCGACGCGGCCCTCTGCCGCCGGGGAGCACCAGCGGCTCGCCCCTCTCAGTCCCGGCCTCCCCGGCTGCCCGCCGGGCTCCGGTTGCCGCGTTGCTCACTGCGGCGGCCGCCCTGCAGCGCACATCCTCCCCGGCCGCGCAGCCACTCCACACACACGCGCGCACAGCCTCCTACTTGGAGGTTGCTGCAAACTCCAACGTCACGTACAAGTGCACTCCCTGCTCCCACCCCGCAGCTCACCTGCTCCGCCCTCCTCCCCGGGACGCCCAGCCCCGCAGCCCTCATCCCTGTCTTCCTCCCAGCCAGGTCCTGACTGCAGCCTCTGGCCACCACCTCTCTGAGAAGCCCTTTAAAAGGACCAGCGCCTGCGGAGGGGAGACCCTGAGAACTTAAGCCTCAGCGTTGCACAAGTTTAAAAAGGGAAGTGCTTGACTTTGGATTGAGAGTTGACTCTTCAGTGTGCGGAAGTCCTGAATTATTTCACAGGGAGAGTTAGAAAAAGCAAAGCTTCCCAAGGCTGCCATTCACTTCTTGAGTCTAGAGGCACATTATCTTGTCTGGCCCCGTGGACAGCTATTTTTTTGCGGGGTGGAGTGGGGGGTGGTTCAAACACCACAGAAGCAAAACAGCCACAAGAAAACAAAGGCTTGAAGAGATTTCTGCTCCCACCCCACCGCCTCAGTCTGGAGATCCAAACTCACCTCGGTAGCAGGAAAGCTCCTTTTCTGCCCAGCTCCCAGGTTCTTGCTTCAGCTGCAGATCTGACATTTGCCTCTGCAGGCACCAGCTTCACTGCTGGCACTCAGACACAGCTGTAAGCTACTGGCCGATGGTGCTCATTAAAAAGCTATGACATATACCTATTGCATCACTTGCCAGCACAATCCCTGAGTGACCACTGAGTCCGGAGGGGCATTTATCCCATGACAGTGCATCATCAGAGGTGCCCTGCTATCATCCCTGCAGGTAGGACACACAGGGCTCATGCAGCCCCAGAACTCCCAGGGCCTTGTGTTCATCTCCTTTACAGATGCCCAGCCATCAGTGTGGGTCCCAGCCTCAAGGATCAGTTGAGATTCAAGGTGGGTTTTGTTATTATTGTTGGTTAGATCTTTGCCCAGAATTTCAGAACCTTCAATGCTACCTGGTTTCCTGTCTCAAAGTTAAAACTTCATTGTATTATGTCATTCAAGTCCCCACAAGGGTAGCTCTGTGGAGTGGTACAGGGGAGAGTGAAACTCAAGCAATAGGGTTTCCTAGCTCAGCACCTACCAGATGTTTCTGGTGACATCCACCTGCAACCCCCAGCTCTCTGGCAGAAGTGGCTCCTAGGAGTTGCTCTTGTTGGATTCTTATTAATTGCCCTCTTGAACAGCTGTAATGAATGGAATGGCTCTGATCTCCAAAAGGCCAGGGCTTCTCAGGGTTGCTTCCTCACCACTACAGCCAAGGAAAAGGTATATAGGGTCCCTGCAGAGCCCTCTAGTGGTACCCCTCCACATTATACGCCTCTTACAGGAAACGTTCCAAGACTCCTAGTGATGACACTACAATAAGCCAATAAGCCACTTCCTTCTTTGGAATAAGCTTACAGCAAAAGAATTACATGTTGTATATTAAAGAGGATCTTTTTACTACAAAATAATACTTCTATGTGTTTCATCAAGTTCATCAATAAAATTTATTATATATAGTAACTAAAACAAATATCACATAATAATTGCACACGTTTTTAAGCACATGCTATGTATTATTTATGTTAACTGTTTTACATAAATAATTTCATTTCCTACTCTCAAAAGCTCTGTAAGATTGTTGTTATCTCGTTTCATAGATGGGGAAACTGAGGCTGAGAGGATAATGTCGCAGGTCACAGACTGAGTAACTGGCCAAGCGGGGATTTAAATCCAAGTGTGAACTATTCAAAAGCCTGAACTTATAACCAGTACGTTATTCTCTTACATGTTGGAGAGATAAAATGCAAAAATTCCTCATAGCTATTCCAAGTCAGCTGAGAGATACGTGTCAAGTTTGAATGTGGTTTTGATATATGATACATGACTTCACCGTGCCTGAGCATCTGTACACTCCTGGGGAAACTGGTTTATACTTGTGCTGATGTGGATGTCCTCCAGCACTTCACATTGGCCTCTACACACGTGTTCTACTAGGCAAGTCACAATGACAAGTTGTACTAGTCTGTTTTCACCCTGCTGATAAAGACATACCTGAGACTGGGAAGAAAAAGAGGTTTAATGGACTTATATTTCCACGTGGCTGGGGAGGCCTCACAATCATGGTGGAAGGCAAGGAGGAGCAAGCCACGTCTTACATGGATGGCAGCAGGCAAAGAGAGTGCTTGTGCAGGGAAACTCCCCCTTATAGAATCATCAGATCTCATGAAACTTATTCACTATCATGAGAGCAGCATGGGAAAGGCCTGCCCCCATGATTCAATTACCTCCCAGTGGGTCCCTCCCACAACATATGGGAATTCAAGATGAGATTTGGGTGGGGACACTGCCAAACCATATCATTCTACCCCTGGCACCTCCCAAATCTCATATCCTCATATTTCAAAACCAATCTTGCCTTCCCATCTATCCCCCAAAGTCTTAATTCATTTCAGCATTAACTCAAAAGTCCACAGTCCAAAGCCTCATTTGAGACAAGGGAAGTCCCTTCCACCTATGAGCCTGTAAAATCAAAAGCAAGTTAGTTACTTCCTGGATAAATGGGGGTACAGGCATTGGGTAAATACAGCTGTTCAAAATGGGAGGAACTGGCCAAAACGAAGTGGCTACAGGCCTCATGCAAGTCCAAAATCTAGCAGGGCAGTTGAATCTTAAAGCTTTGAAATGCTCTCCTTTGACTCCATGTCTCACATCTGGGTCACACCAATGTAAGGGGGGGGTTCCCATGTTCTTGGGCAGCTCTGCCTCTGTGGCCTTGCAGGGTACAGCCTCCCTCCCAGCTGCTTTCATGGGCTGGCATTGAGTGTCTGTGGCTTTTCCAGGCACAGAGTGCAAGCTGTCTGTGGATCTACCATTCTGGGGTCTGGAGGACAGTGGCCCTCTTCTCATAGCTCCACTAGGCAGTGCCCCAGTAGGGACTGTGTGTGTGGGCTCTGACCCCAAATTTTGCTTTTGCACTGACCTAGTAGAGGTTCTCCATGAGGGTGCCACCCCTGCAGCAAACTTCTGTCTGGGCATCCAGGTGTTTTCATAATCCTCTGAAATCTAGGTAAAGGTTCCCAAACCCCAATCCTTGACTTCTCTGCACTTGCAGGCTCAACACCACATGGAAATTGCCAAGGCTTGGGGTTTACACCTCCTGAAGCAACAGCCCAAGCTCTATGTTGGCCCCTTTCAGCTACTGCTGGAGCAGCTCGGATGCAGGGCACAAAGTCCCTAGGCTGCACACAGAATGGGGACCCTGGGCCTGGCCCAGGAAACCATCTTTTCCTCCTAGGCTTCCGGGCCTGTGATGGAAGGGGCTGTTGTGAAGACCTCTGTCACGTCCCAGAGACATTTTCCCCATTGTCTTGGTGATTAACATTCAGCTCCTTGTTATTTATGCAAATTTCTGCAGTTGGCTTGAATTTCTCCCCGGAAAATGGGATTTTCCTTTCTATTGCATTGAGGCTACAAATTTTCTATTGCATCAGGCTGCACATTTTCCAAACTTTTATGCTCTGCTTCCCTTTTCAAACTGAATGCCTTTAACAGCACCCAAGTCACCTGTTGAATGCTTTGCTGCTTAGAAATTTCTTCTGCCAGATAACCTAAATCATCTCTCTCAAGTTCAGTTTCACAAATCTCTAGGGCAGGGGCAAAATGCCAAGAGTCACCTTTGCTCCAGTTCCCAACAAGTTCCTAATCTCCATCTGAGACCACCTCAGCTTGGACTTTTTTGTCCATATTGCTATCAGCATTTTGGGCAAAGCCATTCAACAAGTCTCTAGGAAGTTCCAAACTTTCCCACATTTTCTTATCTTCTTCTGAGCCCTCCAAACTGTCCCAATCTCTGCCTATTGCTCAGTTTCAAAGTCACTTCCATATTCTCGGGTATCTTTTCAGCAATGCCTCACTTTACTGGTACCAATTTACTATATTAGCCCATCTTCATGCTGCTGATAAAGACATACCCAAGACTGGGAAGAAAAAGAGGTTTAATGGACTTATATTTCCATGTAGCTGGGGAGGCCTCACAATCATGCTGGAAGGCAAGGAGGAGCAAGTCATGTCTTACGTGGATGGCAGCAGGCAAAGAGAGAGCTTGTGCAGGGAAACTCTCCATTATAGAACCATCGTTTCTCATGAGACTTACTCACTCTCATGAGAACAGCATGGGAAAGACCTGCCCCCATGATTCAATTACCTCCCAGTGGGTCCCTCCCACAACATATGGAAATTCAAGATGAGATTTGGGTGGGGACACAGCCAAACCATATCGTAAGTGCTCAATAAATATTTGTCTGTTTTTAAAATTCTACTTTCTGTTTAATGCAATGTTGTGTACAGAGTCAAATAGTTAACAAATATTGTTAAAGATCACTAAATCCTTTTTTTTTCACATGCAGCTTACCCCAGGAGTTTTTGATATTTGGGAGGTCATCACCTCCTCATGTCTGTTAACTTCTGCTTGCCGAAGAGGAGTTACTAATTGCCATCTCAACTTCTTCCCTTTAATTTTAAGCACTCCATGCTGTTTCTATTTTTCATTTTCCATACTCAATCCCATCAGTCCTATGTGCTCTGTCTGCTCTGTTGTGTTTCAACAGCTGCCCTGCCCTATCCTGCTACCCCTCAAAAAACCAAACTTCCCATACTCCTTTTCAAATCAGGAGTTTTCTGTCTAATTGACCATATGAATATGGATATTCCTTAAGTGAACACTTCTTTTTGGGAGTGGGATGTGGTGGGAATGCCTATTTAAAAACTCACATAAACAAAATTATCCAGGAAGCTAATGGTGTACTGGTGTATAAGCATGCACTACTGTTTTGAGAATTCCAACAATTTAAAGCTTCACTGGAGCTTTTTTTTTATTATGGCCTAACTGGAGTTAGGCCATAATAACCTATTCTAGGATACTTACAAAATTGCCCAAGCCCCACTTAAAAACTCAAATCTCACAAAAACTCAAATCTCACATTCCAAAAAAAAAGTGCTAATAATTCTTCCAAAAAAGAGAGCTGAGACCCCTGACATATCAATGGCAACAATACTGTATAAATAATATCCAGACAAAAGGATGGGTCATTTGACCTCTGACCCCTATTCCTCTTTTGAGGGTGTTAGCATGAGATAATATCTTGATGAGATCATTGGGCACCTATCTGTCTTGACTTTAGTATTACAGGAGCTGGGAAAAGGAACTGGGCTGACTTTTTCAGCTTTTACTCATTAAACAGGTCTTCCTTGTCATCTTCTAAGAATGTACTGTGCAACAGTTTGCTCATCAAAGCCAAGGATCTCCTCAGCGATGTGTGATGGTGTCTATTCTGATAGGAGCCTGTTCTTTATCACTAGCCCCACTCTCTTGTTTGTTTTTCATTGATATGGCTGGGAATTGGATGGGTATTTAATGACAATTTATGGTAGTCTGGTATGGCAGACTTATGAAGAGTGACTGGGTTTTGTGATCTCAGCAGAGGTCTGGATACTGAAGTGGGTGTGCTGGGTAGATATAGAAGTGAACAGATGCAGAGCTCACATGCCAGGAGTGTAAGTTTTATACTCCCTGCCTCCTCCCAACTCCTCACATGCAAACCACAGCGAAAGGCAGTAAAAAAGGAGTCCTAGATAAGAAAGGAGTCAAAATGCCCAGTTTCTCTGACCACCCAGGGGCTGTATTGAAATCGTGACCCTCAGGGCAAGGACCCAGCCATGGCCCTTTAGAATGAGAAAGCAGACAGGCCTGGGCTGATCATCAGGAAGAGGGTAGCTATGTTGGGCCCACCTGATTCCTCGGATTCTGGAGGTTTGTTACTCTTCTTCCTGGTACAGAATTCCAGCCTGGGTTGTACAAATAGCCTCTTGTTGCCCTACTTGGACTGGTTCACATGTACGACATCTACAGGGGCCTCTGGTCTATTCATTCCCATGCAGGGGTATGTAAATATCTATAGTCCCACTTTACGATTCCAATAAGGCATCAATCCATTTGCTAGAGTTAAGTGATACTTATGATTCCCTTGAGACCGACAGAGCATGGAAAATGCCTTAAAGTATAGCCAACATCTTGAGTTTGAACTCCAGCTCTTCCAGGAAGAAGCAGCCAACCTGCAGTGGCCACCAAGTCTCCTCTGGCCTCAGTTTCCTGATATGGGCCTGAAAGAATTGGACACCTTTGGCAGTTTTCCAGCTGTATATTTTTCTTTTCTTTTTTTCTTTCATAAAAGAGACAGGATCTTGCTCTGATGCCCAGGCTGCAGTGCCATGATGTGATCACAGCTCACTGCAGCCTTGAACTCCTAGGCTCAAGCAATCTTTCCACCTAAGCCTCCTGAGCAGCTAGGACTACAGGTGTGCACCATCACACCTGACTAATTTTTAAAAATTATTTCTTTTGTAGAGATGTGAGCTTACTATGTTGCCCAGGCTTGTCTAAAACTCCTGGTCTCAAGCAATCCTCCTGCCTTGGACTCTCAAAGCACTAGGATTATAGGCATGACCACCATGCCCAGCCCAAACTGTTTCTTGGTCTCTGCAAAGCAACTCTACTTTTATTTGTTGGAGTACTATGTTAGAATTGGTTTATAAAAGAGATGTCATGGCTAAAAGAAAGTTTAGAAAACCACCAACTAGGTAATCTCCTAGGTCTTGTTAGCCTTTAAAATTTGGGGTATATGAAATTATTGTCCTAGGTATTACAATTGTCACTGCCTACAAAGATCTTAACCATTATCTTTCATGTCTCCAGTTAATTAAATCGATCCTTGAGGAGGAAGGAAGGAAAGAAGAAAAAAGGAAGCAGGAAAGAGGGAGGGAGAAAGGAAGGAGGGAGGGAGGAAGGAAGGATGGAAGGAAAAAAGGTAAAGGATGGAGGCAGTCTATTAACAGGACCTGGAATTCTAGAATCTTCTAGAATTGCCTGCTTTATTCCAGATGTTCCTTTGCTGCCTGCATGGCACCAGGAGTGATGAAGCCACGGTGGCTCCCCTCTGCTCAGGTCTCTGTATCTCTCTCCCTGGCTTGATCTCAGAGGAAGCTTTTTTTGGAGACCAGGGCACTGGACTCAAGGTGAGGAGGGAGATCAGATGCCATTTAGTTCGGAAATAGCTGCCTGCTTGTGTTCCGGATGACTCATCGACCACAGCTGGCCTCCAGTCAGATTCCTCTGTGGAGTGGGAACTAGAATACTGACCTAAATCGGATCCTCGTCAACGCCAGGAGACAGCTCCCTTGGCTGGTGTCTGTTTCCAAGGGTGAATCAAGGAGAATGGCCCTCAGGCTGGGCTTGAGTCGGAGGAAGACGTCCGGATTTGGGAAGGAGGTTGATGCGGCTCCACTCCTTAGTTATTCCTGAGCACAGGCTGGCCGGGACCTGCAGGCAAGGTCTTGTTCAATGAGGTCCTCGGAGGCTCAACGTTGGGCAGACCCAGTTTCAGAAGTCCTGATCTCTGAGATAGGGGTCTCCTACGCACTGCGAAGCCCTTTGCCTCTCTCCGAAGGCAGCCATCATGTTCTGGCTTGCTTTGAAGTTATTTGTATACTTGCTACAGCTTCCTGCTGGGCTGTCAACTCTCTACGGTGGGGACCTTGGTAGTAAACAGGATATCAATAATCATTGTTGAGTGAACGAATGCGTGGAAAGTCACTAGGGCAGAAATAAGCAGGACTTTTCCAGGGGTCAAGGTGGGCACGTCTTTGGATGCAGGCAATGTGAGCCCTGGAAATAGCCCCCCCCCGGGAAATAGCGTCCCTTGGAAATAGTCCCCCCCACCCCCAGGAACCAGGAAAGTCCTGCCATGACTCAAAGGAGCGCCGCACAGTGAGAACCCTTTGGGTGCCGGATGCCTCTGGGCACCCTGCTCCTCACACTGTCCCTCATCCCCCGCTGGTTTCTTTTCTGCTACCTGAGAAACCGGCTCTCCTCCCCGACTGCGTGCTTAGGCCAGTGGATCTAGGAAATAACCAGGCCCTCTTAATGCCTGACCCAGCCTGACCCAGCTCTGCTGCTCCACTCATCATATAAACACCAGATGCCTGCAAAGATCACAAAAACTCTGCAGTGTTTTCCATGTAGGAGTGGTGCAGTGGGTTTATGGAGTGTCACACAGAGAGGTGCTGAAAAGTACTTGTCACATCTCCCTGCCTCTCCGCATTTCCTAGCTCCCCCAGCTGCCACGTGCCCCTCATCCCTATAACATCCTCACCAGCAAGTCCTCCCTCTCCACACCATCCTCCTCATCCACAGCGTGCCCTCAGCAGCAGGTCCTTCCTCCCAACATAGCCTTCTTCTCCTCCTTCCTCTACACGGACCCCTCACCCACCACCCCCTGCACCCCCAGGTCCCCTGGTCATCTCAGGCAAGAGGAGCCTCTTGGGGAGTGTCTTCTGCTATCTGCTCAGGCAGGGGGAGGCCCCTGGATTTCTGGCTCCTAAAACCCTCCTCCTTGCTCTGTTTGCTTTCCTGAGGGCTTGGTGCTGGCTTACTTTGCCTCTAGTGAGGAATTTTCTTCTGGATATTGGTGCACGCTTCTCTCCATCTATCTCAAAGAACAACTCCTCATAGCACTGGGTTTGACTCTTGGCAGAGTTTCTTTTATTGGAAGCCCTCATGCCTTTCTCTAGGCTTCTAGCTGTTTCTGCCCCTCAGACTGGCTTCAGAGAAAGGTCAGAGCCCTAGTGGAGTCCAGCAAGCCTAGATTCTCCAAGTGGGAGGGAGTTCAAGTACAACTCCAGCATTCCTGGTGCTAGCTGTTCTCAGGCATTGTCTCTGCTTTGAGACGGAGTCTCACTCTGTTGCCCAGGCTGGAGTGCACTGGCGCGATCTCAGCTCACTGCGACCTCTGCCTCTCGGGTTCAAGCAATTTTGAGCACTGTCTCTTGGGCTACCACCTCACCGAAAGAAGCCATTCTGTTCCTGGCGCTATGTTTCTGCTTAGTAATCATGAAGGTGAGCTGTGATCAGTAATACTCCCCAAAGGCAGGACATGCTGAGACCATTACCTCAGAGTGCGGCCCACCCAAGTCCACTAGAACTGTCCTGGGAACTCACTGAATGGGAGTGAAAATTTTGCACATCACAGATTGCCAAATGACCCTATTGGCCAAAAAAATATAAAGTGCTCCAAAGAAATAATTGTGTGTTTCCACCAACAAGCACTGAGGGTGGCTCTTTCTCCCTTGTTTTTCACATATTTGTTGGCTTACACTAGGCATTTAGAGTCAGTTGTATTCATAAGAAATTGCACTAGTCACCAGAAGAGTAGCTGCAGGAAAAAGGGAGAGAGATGTTCCAAAATTTAATCAGATTTGGGCAACACACCTTGCTTTTTGCAAAAGCAAGCAAACAACCCAAAATCCTGCTTAAGGCAAAGCCTGTTCCTTTCTGTGAAGCAGAAAGAGAAGGCCCTGCTAAAGCTGGATGAAAGCAAAAAGAGATGAGGTGTAGAGGTGTGTCCTGCTCCTGATTGAGCCACTGTGGGTCATGCCTTTTCCCAAAGATGGATTTGTTAGTGTACGGCAAAAAGTCAACTGAATCCCCAATAATTCCCTAGAGTTCCCGGCAGGGTTTGGAGGGCTAAATGTATACATGGTTTGTTCCTAAAATTATCTAGTTGGTGCCACAGTGTTTCTGGCTGTGGCTTCCTAAACTACCTTCTAACAGATAGCTCCTTAGGCATTAGGACAAAGGTGAGCTCCTCAGGGCTCCAGGGGTGCATCTGAGGTGAAGCTTTAGGGCCATCGTAATTGTGACCAGCCCAGAGTCCTTGGCAGGGGAATCACGCTGGGTTTGTGTATGTCAGAGTGTATCAACAAGATAATAATGTTGTAGCTTGATGGGAACCTTTCAACATGATCTAGACCAAATTTGTTTTTGGGTTTTTGTCAATCTGTTTTGCTTTTAAGATGATTATCTTTAGAAATTCCATGTACTGCTGATGAGAATAAAAATTGATATATCTTTTTAGAAGGTTGATAATATATATCAAAGTTCTGGCCTCTTATTCACCGTTTCTATTTTTTTTTCTAAAAAATAAACTGATGTGAATATAGATAAGCTTCAAAGATGTTCATCTAAGTTTTATTGCTATTAATACACTGGAAATAACCTAAATGTTCATCAGAAGGGAAATGGGAAATAAAGTATGGTGTATTTACACAAAAGATTATAAGACAGCTAAGAAAATAAGTTATTCAATAACACAGGGAAAATGCTAGAGAGGAAAAAAGGCATGCATTTGACAGCCCACATAGTCCGTATGCATACTACATATTCCCTTATGTAGATCATATAACTCAACATATGTGTGTACGTATGTTAGCTACATATTATCTATACCTACCTCATATATATTCAGAAAAAAATTGAATAAACTTCCACTTTTTAAAAGTTTTCATGTGTTCTAACTACCATAAGTAACAACAGTGAGTTATTTTTTCCTTGAGACTTCTCTGACAGAGAAGCTTGTCTGCTTTTAAAATTCGGTTCACTGGGGGATTGGGTTGAAGCCATTCTTTTTTTTTTTTTGAGATGGAGTCTTGCTCTGTCACCAGGCTGAAGTGCAGTGGCGTGATCTCGGCTCACCACAACCTCTGCCACCCAGGTTCAAGTGATTCTCCTGCCTCAGCCTCCTGAGAAGCTCGGATTACAGGCACATGCCAGCACATCTGGCTAATTTTTCTATTTTTAGTAGAGATGGGGTTTCACCATATTGGTCAGGCTGGTCTCGAACTCCTGACCTCATGATCCTCCCACCTTGGCTTCCCAAAGTGCTGGGATTACAGGCATGAGCCCTTGCGCCTGGCCAAAACCATTCTTGATGCTTAAGAATAGTTTAAAGGGGCTAAAAAATGAGTCTCTTGTAAACAGGTACAAATGAGAATAAAAATGGGAAACGTCTTCATGAACTAGAATGTGTAAGAGAAGAAGGAAACTTTTCACTTTTAAAATATTTTGACAATTTCTGTTTTTTAAAATGTAAAACTCTTTTAAGTCTGTGCTTTTAATGTCATTGTCCCTTTGTCTTTTTATAAGTATATTTATTAAAGCAACAAAAGTAAATGATCACTCCCATTTTCCATATTTTAAATATTTTGTTTCCTCACATCCTTTTTATTTTTTCTTGCAATATAAATTTTCAGAACATGCTGGTAATGAAACATGGAGAAAGGAGAAGGTGAGAGATGCTTTTAATGACAGTATTGGTTTTCTGCAACCATTCCTTCAGGAATGAAGGAATCCATAGCTAGAGCTCTGAGCTGGGGAGAGTCATGGTTGCTCTTCCACCCAGGTGCCCCTCTCTATTGGTGTTTCAGCAAGGAGCAGTTAGTTCCCTTTTCTTCCTGCTGCTTCTTTAGGATGCTTCTGTCTTTGCTGCAGCCTCATTGCAGCCTTTCCTAGTCCTCTCCCCAATCTCTTCATTTCAGCTGACATAAGGTTTTTTACTTTTCCTTTGAGTATGTGTGAGTGAAGAGGCTATTGTATTGTTATCTGTCTTAGACAGGTGCACAGGCCATCTCCTCACATCCTGGCCAATCTCTGTGGTGCCCTGGCACCTTGGAATGGCAGCTGCTTGAAATGCGGAGGGCTCCCGCCCATGAAGGAGGCTTGTGTTCTGGCACAGTGGTGGGAAAGACAGCAAAACAGCCCCTCAATGCATTGCTTTCATCCCTTTCAGCACGTCATTCACAGGCATCAGCCTCAGGGCGCACTGGTTAGAAATTATTATTTAGATATGGTGTTTACAAATGGGTTTGTAGTTTCCCATTACATATTGTTTATCAATATAAATACTTCTTGGTGTAAATTTATTTGGCTTTGATATGTTAAAGCTCAAATGAACAAACTATGACACAATTCAAGACTTCCCCCTTGTCTCTCAACTTTTTTTCTTTGCCACTGTTTAAAACATGGCCCTGAGCATTTGCACACACCTTTTTAAAAAAAGGTTTTATTTTATTTTATTTCTATTTCCCACCCCCACTGCCCGACAGACCCTAGTATGTGTTGTTCTGCACCACATGTCCATGTGTTCTCATCATTCAGTTCCGACTTATAAGTGAAACATGTGGTGTTTGGTTTTCTGTTCCTGCATCAGTTTGCTGAGGATAATGGCTTCCAACTCCATCTATGTCCCTGCAAAGGACGTGATCTTTTTCCTTTTTATAGCTTGTTCCTTTTATACTATATGCATAGTATTCCATGGTGTATATGTACTATATTTTCTTTATTCAGTCTAGCATTGATGGGCATTTAGGTTGATTCCATGTCTTTGCTTTTGCATTTGCACACACCTTAACTCCTTCTTTTTTTTTTTTTTTTTTTGAGAAGAAGTCTAGCTCTGTAGCCCAGGCTGGAGTGCAGTGGCGCAGTCTCGGCTCACTACAAGCTCCACCTCCTGTTAACCCCTTCTTTAAACCATTGCTTTTTGTAAAACTACAAAGATGGAAAAAACCACACGCAAAACCAAAAACATCGTCAGCAGAAAACTATCAGGCATCAACCCATTCAAGTCTTGTATTTCACTCCTGGGGGTGGGGACCGTCCTCAGAAGAGCTCTCTGCTGAGCTGAATTTGTGGGAAATACTCATAGGAGAAGCTCACTGATTTTTATTTTAACTTTGATTGCTTATTTAAAGTGAGTGGGCATTAAATGCTCTATTGATAGCAGGATTCTAATTTGGGATTTGTAGCAACCTAATACATCATCTAAGATATGAAGGATGTTTGTAATTTGAAAATCTGTCTCTGGCAGTGTCGTTCTCAAAATTTAAGGCACATGTAACCATGGTACCTGCAGCATTATTTGATTTATTAATGGGATGGACAACATGAAGCACAAAAAACTTTACTCGACCACCCATGGAGCTAGTTGAAGCTATCAAATATGTCAGCTTAACTTGTTAGCATGAACTGGAATCAAAAATCACTTTCACTGCAAAATGTTTAGCTACAGCCCTGCCCAGAAATGATATAGGTAAACCCAAGTTTGTCTTCATCCAAGCACATTACATATTAATTCATAGGATACTTGTCTATGAATTTAAATAGTAGTGATCAAATCACACTGGGATTTGGAGTACATGAGCCCAATTCAGTTATGAGCCATGGGGCCTCTCCTGCATTTGGTGACTGTTCTCTGCTGCTTGCTAGTGGACTGTGGGTTATGGCTAGAGATGATATACTGTGCTCCTGCAAAGGAGGGCCTGGACACTGTTTAAGAGCATAGACTTTCTGAGGTAGAAAGGGTTTTGGAAATCATCTTGTATATCACCCGCAGTTTGGGACAGGAAGGAATAAAACTAAGAGGATGATAGAGAAACAAAAAACTATGGCTATTCTGGGAACACTAAATAGAAGCAACCTAAATATACCTCCAGAAGTGCATAAACAGCCAAAATGACGAGGTCTGTCTCGCAGCTGCAGCTGCAATGAAGCCGAGAGTATTTTAGATTGATGGGACCTGCCTGCATTTCAGAGACATTTCTGGAGGTAAAATAAAGAGGCCACTCCTTCTTGGATATCAGTTTTAAACTTTGGACAAGATTCAGGAAATTATAGTGTCTTTGAAATGACTCCTTTTGGGAAAGGAAATTGTGCCTTTAGGAAAAAAAAATACTTAATTTTAAGAAATAAAAGGCCATGTAAGTGCATCTCAGATCCAAGTGGAAGTTTTTTGGAAAATGTGAGGCTCCTGGGAGAGATGATGGGTGAATTAGGGCATCTGGTAAGGCTATCAGGCAGTTTTGTCAGAAAGGAAGGCATTCAGCACAACAGCAAACTCATGCTTCTCACCATCAAAGCATTGAAAAGACAACCCATAGAATAGGAGAAAATATTTGCAAATTATATATCTAATAAGAAATTAGCATCTAGAATATGTGAAGAACTCTTATAACTCAAAAATAAAAAGACAACCCAATTAAAAAATGGGCAAAGAATCTGAAGAAGTATTTCCCCAAAGAAGATATACCAAGGCCAACAAACACATGAAAAGATGCTTAACGTCATTAGCCATCAGAGAAATGCAAATCAAAACCTCGATAAACATGAGAACACAGACATTTTTTTTGACGTAGTGATTTTAATTCCTTTGGCTCTATACCCAGAAGTGGGGTTACTGGATCATATGGTAGTTCTATTTTTAGATTTGAAGGAACCTCCATACTCTTTTCTGAAATGGTGATATTAATTTACATTCCCACCAACAGTGTGTTGTCCCTGTTACTCTGCACCTTCACCAAACGTGTGCTATTATTCACCTTTTTGGTAACTGCATTCTAACAGGTATGAGGTAATAGCTCATTGTGGTTTTAACTTGCATTTACCTGATAGAGATGTTGAGCATTTTTTCATATACCTGTTGACCATTTGTATCTCTTCTTTTGACAAATGCCTGTTCAGGTCCTTTGCCCGTTTTTTAATTGGATTATTTGTTTTCTTGCTATTGAGTTGTTTGAGTTACTTATTTTTTTGTATATTAGCCCCTTATCAGATGTATGGTTTGCAAATATTTTCTTCCAATCTGTGGATTGTTTCTTCATTCTGTTAGTCATTTCCTTGGCTGTGCAGAAACTTTTTATGTTGATGTAATCCCATATGACTGTTTTTGCTTTTGTTGCCTATGCTTTTGGAGTCAACCAAAAAATCATTGCCCAGACCAATGTCACAAAGTCTTTCTCCTATGTTTTCTTCTAGGAGCTTTACAATTGCAGGTCTTACATTTGTCTTTAATCTACTTTGAGTTGATTTTTTTGTATATAATGTCTGAGATAAGGTCCAATTTCATTCTTCTGCATGTGAATGAACATACAGTTTTCCCAGCACCATTTATTGAAGAGACTGCTCTTTCCCCATTGTGTCTTCTTGGCACTGTTATTGAAAATAAATTGCCCATAAATACTTGGGTTTACTTCTGGGCTTTATATCCTGTTCCACTGGTTGATGTGTCTGTCGTCATGCCAGTGCCATTACGACTTTTGTTTTTTTTCTTTTCGTTTTCTTTTTTTCGAGACAGGGTCTCACTCTGTTGCCCAGGCTGGAGTGTGGTGGTGCAATCATAGCTCACTGCAGCCTTAAACACCCGAGCTTAAGCAATCCTCCCATCTCAGCCTCCAGAGTAGCTGGGACTATAGGCATGCACCACCATAACTGGCCAGTTTTTAATTTTTTTTTTTTTTTTGTAGAAATAAGGACTCACTATGTTGCCCAAGCTAGGCTTGAACTCCTGGAATCAAGGTATCCTTCTGCCTTGGTCTCCCAATGTTCCGGGATTATAGACATGAGCCATTGCACCCAGCTGCCATGCTGTTTTGATTACAATAGCTTTATAATATATTTTGAAATTAGGTAGTGTGATACCTCCAGCTTTGTTCTTTTTGCTCAAGATATCTTTGGCTATTCAGGGAATGGTGACCACAGTTAATATTAATGTATTATATATTTCAAAATTGCTAAAGAATAGATTCTTTACATTCTCACCACAAAAAATGGTAAGTTAATGAGGCATGTTAACGATCTTGACTTAATCTTTCTACAATGTATGCATAGATCAAAACATCACATTGTACCCCATACATATATATAATTATTAATTGTTGATGAACAAAACTAATTAATTTTAAAAAAACACAATGAGGTACCACTTCATACCTGCTAGAATGGCTAGAATAAAAAAAGCAGACAATAGCAACTGTTGGAGAGGATGTAGAGAAATTACAGTCCTCATCCACTGCTGGTGGAAATCCACTTTGGAAAATGGCCTGGCACTTCCTCAAAAGAGTAAACAGAATTACTATACTACCCAGCAATTCCACTTCTAGGTATATACCCATAAGAAAAGAAAACATATGTCTGTACAGAAACTTGTGCATAAATGTTCAGAGCAGCATTATGCATAATAATTCAAAGTGAAATCCTCCCCAAAACATCAATGTTCTGCACTCTCATCCAGCACACTTTTCCTAGGAAATGTTTCATCTTTGTCAAGAAATACTGTACATAATCCATATAATCAACATGAAAATGACCAAAAAGCCTTCACAGGAAATCATTTCTTACCTGAGCAAAAGGTGCTAATCAAGAACACCTGTTCACTGCTGTGCTAGGTATTTCCTTCCCTTTTCCTCTAAAATCACTCTGCAGAGTTGAGACTCACAGGTTAACCATCTGTCAGATGCCCATCCTGTGTTTTATGTTTACAGCATATCACAGGTGACAGAAAAATCTGGCAGAGGCTTCTCACAGCCAAGTGCTAATTATGACCAGAGTTTGTGTAGCTTATTGGAGGAATAAACCTATTTGATCTTGTCAAGAATAAAAAATGTAGGTGTTGTTCAGGTGTTTCTGTTTTTCTTGTTGGTTTTTCAACACAACAGATGTGTTATTGCTGCAAACATGCTCACATTACAACCTGATGCTGGTGCTTTTGAAATTTCTTTTCCCTCAAATTGATGTTATTGAGTTAAGGTCAATGAAGATTCTAGCATCTCTGCTATGCCCCACTTTGCAAGGACTGCAGCCCTCCGTGGGGAGTGAGAGCAGGCTTGAGGGCTGAGCTCTGCTGAGCTGCCACCCTCTACCCTGGGGTTCTTGTGGGCAGGAGAACTGCCCCTCTCACTTCCCCCAGCACCCTTCTTGCTCCCTCTCCACATCAGGGAGTGATCATGGAGGGGGTTCATCCTCCCGTTAGTCATTCACTCATTTGTTCATTGGTCCAATAAATGTTTTATGAGCACTCACTATGTACCAGGCACTGTGCTGGAGATTGATTGACTCTCCTTAACCGAACTCTCTCCTTGACCAGGTTCCTCTGAGTCCTCTTCTCCACTAGCCCTCACCTTTGCCCTGGAAGGACTTGAACAAACACTAATAGAGTTTCTAACAGCACAAAGCCTTATCCCCCAGATGGCCTTCCCCTCCCCCTTGAAGTGCCTGTCTGAGAAAACTCAAGGCTGCCCAAAGAGTTTACTGTTTGTTCCAGCAACACCTCATGATAGGGTCCCTGTCTCCCAGCCTCAGTGGGAGTGGGTAGGAGCCTAACTTTGATATGCACCAGTTAGCAAACCCAGATGAGTTTCACATGGATCAACTTCCCCTTATCACTTTTTATAACTTTTATAATTTTTCATTTCCCTAACTCTGCTCAAGACCCTTTAAAATGCCCAGTCACCTCTGCATTAATCAGATTGAAGCTCAGTTCTTTCCTTTACTGACAGCAGTTATTGCATAAAATCTGTTTTTACTGCCTTAACTAATGTCCAGCTATGTTTATCTTTGTCTTTCTTTTTTTTTCCCAATATGGAGTCTTGCTATGTTGCCCAGGCTGGAGTGCAGTGGCACTATCTTGGCTCACTGCAACCTCCGCCTCCCAGGTCCAAGCAATTCTCCTGCCTCAGCCTCCGGAGTAGCTGGGATTACAGGCATGTGCCACCACGCCTGGCTAATTTTTGTATTTTTTTAGTAGAGACGAGGTTTCACCATCTTGGCCAGGCTGGTCTCGAACTCCTAACCTCAGGTGATCCGCCCACCTCAGCCTCCTGAAGTGCTGGGCTTACAGGTGTGAGCCACCATGCCCAGCCTATGTTTGTCTTTGACAGGATACAGCAATACAGACAACATTTCCAGAATCTGCCCTCCTCGGGCTTACATGTTAGTGGGGAGCCAGGCAGTGAACAAGTAAAAGAAGGATGTTGGGTGATGTTGATGCAGGGCAGGCAAACCCCCAGATTGGGGCTTAGTGCCAGGAGGGCTCTTGGCTTCACTCAGGGAAGAATTCAAGGGTGAGCCAGTGGTGTTAGGCAGCAACTTTTATTTTAGTGGCAGAGTGTACAGCAGCAGCAGCAGCAGAGGTACTGCTCACTGCAGAGCAGGGCTACCCCACAGGCAGTGTGCCCAGGGTAGCAGCTTGGAGGCAGTTCTGCAGCCATATTTATATCCACTTTTAATTACATGCAAATTAAGGGGAAGATTACGCAGAAATTTCTTGGAAAAGAGGAGTAACTTCTGGGTCATGAGGTTGTTGCCATGGAAGGGGGCAGTAATTTTTGGGTGTTGCCATGGCAATGGTAAATTAACATGACACACTGGTGGGCGTGTCCTAGGGAAAGCTGCTTCTGCCCCATCCCTAGTTCTCAGTTTGGTCCAGTGTCTGAGCCCCTCCTCTGGGGAGTCCAGTCCCACCTTGTATTAGTCCATTTCCACACTGCTGATAAAAACATACCCAAGACTGGGTAATTTATAAAGAAAAAGAGGTTTAATGGACTCACAATTCCACGTGGCTGGGGAGTCCTCACAATCACGGTGGAAGGCGAAAGGCATGTCTTACATGGTGGCAGACAAGAGAGAGAATGAAAGCCAGGTGAAAGGGGTTTCCCTTTATAAAACCATCAGATCTTGTGAGACTTATTCACTACTATGAAAACAGTATGGGGGAAACCGCCCCCATGATTCAGTTGTCTCCCACTGGGTTCCTCCCACAACACATGGGAATTATGGGAGCTGCAATTCAAGACGAGATTTGGGTGAGGATGCAGCCAAACCATATCATACTTTCTATCTCACTGTGGCAGGTACGTGGTTGCAGGGGGGTATTAATGGGTTTTCAGGATGGTCTCTAGAGAAAGTAAAATTGGACCGAAACCTAAAGGAAGATAAGCTAATCTTTTAAAGAGTGGGGAGAAGGGCCTTCCAGTCAAAGGGGACACAATGAAAAGGAGCTTGATGCTATAAGAATAGAGCAATAGATAAGGCCAGTGGAATAGGCAGGAATCCACCCCACATGCCTTGAGCCTTGATACATTTAGATTTTAAAAGCCAGAGTAATGCTTGTGATTTGGAAGGGGGGCAAATAAGCCTGAATAAAGTCAAGTTTGAATCAAGAAATTGGACTGTGGAATTGGATGGAAGTGAGGCGAGAGATGAGGGCAATGCCGTACTCAGATGGTTCTGTGGCTCAAAGTGGCTGGAGCACACAGGAGGCTGGGATGGTCTGATTTTTTTGACAAAGGCTGTCATACTTGCTCCTAGGTAGGCACAGCCTGGAAAGCAGTGGGCAAAGAAATGGGAGACAGTGGAAGGGTTCTGTCCACACGTGTCCTTGGGTTACTTTCCACTTGCTGATTTGCTTCCCGGGTGCAACTGGTTTCCCTTTTTCTCCCAGAGCTTGAGTGCAGTCTTGATGAGCCACAGCTATGTGCCCTGCTCAGAAAGAAGTGTCTTGGGGTATCCACAGTAAAGCTGCCTGGAGGATGCTGAAAGTATGGTGGTCAAGAGTGGCTCCCAAAATATATGCTCTTTCCAAACATGTAGAAACCCGTCATCTGTCTGTCGCCCTAATTGCTCCTCAGCATAACTGGGTGCAGTGTGGGCTAACAGGACAGGAAACAGGAACATGGGTTAAAAACCCATGTTTGAATTGGAATATTCCAAGACCAGGATGTGTTGGAGGTGAATTCTGATTCACTATTAGAATCACCTCCTCCAATATCACTGTAGAAGAGATTCTGGAGATGCCTAGAGGGTCTCTCATGTTGACACCCACATATGTTTCTAAGCCTTTAAGGGGTCTTGGGGACATCTCTGTGGGTCTTGAAGCTGCTCTTTCTTTTCTTTTTTTTTATTGCATTAATTTTTTAAAAAATTTCCATAGGTTTGAGGGGGAACAGGTGGTATTTGGTTACATAAGTAAGTCCTTTAGTGGTGATTTGGGAGATTTTGGTGCATGCATCACCTGAGCAGTAAACGCTGAACCCAATTTGTAGTCTTTTATCCCTCACCCTCCTCCCACCCTCTCTCCTGAGTCCCCAAATTCCACTGTATTATTCTTATGCCTTTGCATCCTCATTGCTTAGCTCCCACTTATGAGTGAGAACATGCGATGTTTGTTGTTTTCATTCCTGAGTCACTTCTCTTAGAATAATAGTTACCAGCTCCATCCAGGTAGCGCAAATGCCATTAGTTCTTTCCTTTTTATGGCTGAGTAGTATTCCATAAACAATGTGTTTATCCACTCATTGATTGATGAGCATTAGGGCTGGTTCCATATTTTTTGCAATTGCGAATTGTGCTGCTATAAGCTTGCGTATGCAAGTATCTTTTTTTAATAATGACTTCTTTTCCTCTGGGTATATACCCAGTAATGGGACTTTTGGATCAAATGGAAGTTCTACTTTTATTTCTTTAACTATTAAACTTTAAATAAAACACTGTTTTCCATAGTGGTTGTACTAGTTTACATTCCCACCAACAGTGTAGAAGTGTTCCCTTTTCACCATATCCATGCCAACATCTATTATTTTTTGCTTTTATGATTTATGGCTATTCTTGCAGGAGTAAGATGGTATTGTATTGCGGTTTTCATTTACATTTCCTTTATCATTAGTGATGTTGAGCATTTTTTCATATGTTTGTTGGCCATTTGTATATCTTCTTTTGAGAACTGTCTATTCATGTCCTTACCCCACTTCTTGATGGGACTGTTTGTTTCTTTCTTGCTAATTTGTTTGAGTTTGTTGTAGATTCTGGATATTAGTCCTTTGTAGGATTACAAGTTGTGAAGATTTTTCTCCCACTCTGTTGGTTGTCTCTTTACTCTGCTGACTCTTCCTTTTGCTGTGCAGAAGCTCTTTAGTTCAATTAAGTCCCACCTATTTATTTTTGTTTTTGTTGCATTTGCTTTTGGGTTCTTGGTCATGAAGTCTTTGCCTAAGCCAATGTCTAGAAGGGTTTTTCTAATGTTATCTTCTAGAATTTTTATAGTTTCAGATCTTTGATTTAGTTCCTTGATCCATTTTGAGTTGATTTTTGTGTAAGGTGAGAGATGAAGATTCAGTTTTATCCTCCTATATGCAGCTTGCCAATTATCCCCACACCATTTGTTGAATAGGGTGGCCTTTCCACACTTTATGTTTTTGTTTGCTTTGTCCAAGATCAGTTGGCTATAAGTATTTGGGTTTACTTCTGGGTTCTGTATTCTGTTCCGTTGGTCTATGTGCCTATTTTTATACCAGTACCATGCTGTTTTAGTGACTATGGCCTTATAGTATAGTTTGAAGTCAGGTAGTGTGATGCCTCTAGATTTGCTCTTTTTGCTTAGTCTTGCTTTGGCTATGTGAGCTCTTTTTTGGTTCCACATGTTAGGATTGTTTTTACTAGTTCTGTGAAGAATGATGGTAGCATTTTGATGGGAATTTCATTAAATTTGTAGGTTGCTTTTGGCAGTATGGTCATTTTCACAATATTGATTCTACCCATCCATAAGCAGGGGATGTGTTTCCATTTGTTTGTGTTGTCTATGATTTCTTTCAGCAGTGTTTTGTAGTTTTCCTTGTAGATGGCTTTCACCTTGTTTAGGTATATTCCAAAGTATTTTATTTTATTTGATTTTTGCAGCATTTGTAAAAAGGGTCGAGTTCTTGATTTGATTCTCAACTTGGTCGCTGTTGGTGTATAGCACAGCTACTGATTTGTGTACATTAATTTTGTATCCTGAAATTTGCTGAATTTATTTAACAGTTCTAGGAGCTTTTTGGAGGAGTCTTTAGGGTTTTCTAGGTTTACGATTATATCATCAGCAAACAGCAACAGTTTGCCTTCCTCTTTACTGATCTGGATGTCCTTTATTTGTTTCTCTTGTCTGATTGCTCTAGCTAGGGCCTCCAGTACTATGTTGAATAGAAGTAGTGAGAGTGGGCATCCTTGTCTTGTTCTCAGAAGGAATGCTTTCAACTTTTCCCCATTCAGTATTATGTTGGCTGTGGATTTGTCATAGACAGTTTTTACTACACTGAGGTGTATCCTTTGTATGCTGATTTTGCTGAAGGTTTTAATCATAAAGAGATGCTGGACTTTGTCAAATGCTTTTTCTGCATCTATTGAGATGATCATGTGATTTTTGTTTTTAATTCTCTTTATGTGGTATTACATTTATTGACTTGCATATGTTAAACCATCCCTGCATCCCTGGTATGAAACCCACTTGATTATGGTGGATTATCTTTCTGATATGCTGTTGGATTTGGTTCACTAGCATTTATGATTTTTGCATCTATGTTCATCAGAGATGTTGGTTTGTAGTTTTCTTTTTTTATTATGTCCTTTCCTGGTTTTGGTATTAGGGTGATACTGACTTCATAGAATGATTTAGGAGGATTCCCTCTTTCTCTGTCTTGTGGAATAGTGTTAATAGGATTGGTACCAATTCTTCTTTGAATGTCTGATAGAATTCAGCTGTGAACCCATCTGGTCCTGGACTTTTTTTTTTGTTGGTAATTTTTAAATTATTATTTGAGTCTTGCTCCTTGTTATTGGTCTGTTCAGGGTTTCTAATTCTTCCTGACTTAATCTAGGAGGGTTGTATATTTCCAGGAATTTATCCATCTCCTCTAGGTTTTCTAGTTTATGTGTGTAAAGGTGTTCACAGTAGTAGTCTTGAATGATCTTTTGTATTTCTGTGGCGTTGGTTGTAATATCTCCCATTTCATTTCCAGCTGTGCTTATTTGGATCTTCTCTCTTCTTTTCTTGGTTAATCTTTCTAATGGTCTATCAATTTTATTTATCTTTTCAAAGAACCAGCTTTTTGTTTCATTTGTCTTTCGTATTTTTTTTTGTTGTTGTTTCAATTTCATTTAGTTCTTCTCTGATCTGGGTTATTTCTCTTCTTCTGCTGGGCTTGGAGGTGGTTTGTTCTTGTTTCTCTAGTTCCTTGAGGTGTGGTCTTAGATTGCCTATTTGTGCTTTTTCAGACTTTTTGATGTAGGCATTTAAGGCTATGAATTTTCCTCTTAGCACTGCCTTTGCTTGTATCCCAGAGGTTTTGATAAGTTGTGTCATTACTGTAGTTTAGTTCAAAGGTTTTAAATTTTCATGTTGATTTTATTTTTGACCCAGTGATCATTCAGGAGCAGGTTATTTAATTTTCATATATTTGCATGGTTTTGAAGTTTCCTTTTGGAGTTAATTTCCAGTTTTATTCCACTGTGGTCTGAGAGAGTACTTGACATAATTTCAGTTTTCTTAAATTTATTGAGACTTGTTTTGTGGCAATCATATGGTCTATCTTAGAGAAAATTCCATGTGCTGATGTGTTGGAGGCTGCACAAGTATTTCTTATGATTAGGCATAATTGAAGCCTGTTAGCAATAATGAGAACCTGTGAGCAAGTAAACAGCTAACCAATCATTACCTCCTCCTTCTTGCTCTTGTTACCTAATATATAAGAAGGGCTGTGGAAGCTCGGCAGCTGCCTTTGCTCACTAGAAGCAGGGAGCCCTTTTCTTTTCTTTTTCTCTTCTCTTCTTCTTCCCCATGCTAGCCTTTCCTTAAAATAGTTACTTTTGTTTTTTGTTACCATTTCTACGTTCATCCCTTTGTTCAGTCTTGTAATGACGGTCTCAAGCAGTAACAGTAATAATTGCTGCAATGAGGGTCTCAAGTAGTAGCTGTGGCAGTCGGCCACACTGATGAAATAGAATGTATATTCTGTGGTTGTTGGGTAGAATATTCTGTAAAATATCCGTTAAGTCAAGTTGTTCTAGGGTATAGTTTAAACCCAGTATGTCTTTGTTGACTTTCTGTCTTGATGATTTGTCTAGTGCTGTCAGTGGAATATTGAAGTCCCCCACTATTATTGTGTTGCTATCCCATTTCTTATGTCTAGCAGTATTTGTTTTATAAATTTGGGAGCTCCAGCATTAGGTGCATGTATATTTAGGATGATTGTGACATTTTCCTGTTAAGGCCTTTCATCATTATATAATGTCCCTCTTTGTCTTTTTTAACTGCTGTTGCTTTCAAGTTTGTTTTGTCTGATATAAGAATAGCTATTCCTACTCACTTTTGGTGTCCATTTACATGTAATATCTTTTTCCACCCCTTTACCTTAAGTTTATGTGAGTCCTTATGTGTTAGGTGAGTCTCTTAAAGGTAGCAGACACTTAGTTGGTGAATTCTTATCCATTCTGCAATTCTGTATTTTTTAAGCAGAGCATTTAGACCATTTACATTCAATGTTAGTATTGAGATGTGAGGTACTATTCAATTCATCATGCTATTTGTTGCTTGAATACCTCGGTTTTTTTGTGTGTGTTTTTGTTGTATAGATCCCGTGAGACCCATGCTTTAAAGAGGTTCTGTTTTGGTGTGTTTCCAGGATTTGTTTCAAGATTTAGAGCTCCTTTTAGCAGTTCTTGTAGTGCTGGCTTGGTAGTGATGAATTCTCTTAGTGTGTGTTTGTCTGAAAAAGACTATCTTTCCTTCATTTATGAAGCTTAGTTTCACTGGGTACAAAATTCTTGGCTGATAATTGTTTTGTTTAAGGAGGCTGAATATAGGGCCCCAATCCCTTCTAGCTTGTATGGTTTCTGTTGAGAAATCTGCTGTTAATCTGATAGGTTTTCCTTTATAGGTATCTGATGCTTTTGCCTTACAGCTCTTACGATTCTTTCCTTTGTCTTGACTTTGGATAACTTGATAACTATGTGCCTAGGTGAGGATCTTTTTGTGATGAATTTCCCAGGTGTTCTTTGAGCTTCTTGTATTTGGATGTCTAGCTCTCTAGCAAGGCTGAGGAAGTTCTCCTTAATTATTCCCCCAAATATGTCTTCCAAACTTCTAGATTTCTCTTCTTCCTCAGGAATGCCAATTCTTAGGTTTGGTAATTTAACATAACCCCAGACTTCTCGGAGGCTTTGTTAATTTTTTAAAAATTCTTTTTTTTTTTTTGTCTGTGTTGGATTGAGTTATTTCAAAACCTTGTCTTCGAGCTCTGAAGTTCGTTCTTCTGCTTGTTTGATTCTATTGCTGAGACTTTCCAGTACATCTTGCATTTCTCTAAGTGTGTCCTTTATTTCCTGAAGTTGTGACTATTTTTTATTTATGCTATCTATCTCACTGAAGATTTCTCCCTTTATATCTCGTATATTTTTAAAAATTTCCTTAAGTCGGACTTCACCTTTCTCTGGTACCTCCTTGATTAGCTTAATAATCAACCTTCTGAATTCTTGTTCTGGCAATTCAAGCATTTCTTGGTTTGGATTTGTTGCTGGTGAGCTAGTGTTTTTTTTCTTTTTCTTTTTTGAGGTGTTAAAGAACCTTGTTTTGTCATATTGCCAGAATTATTTTTCTGGTTCCTTCTCATTTGGGTAGGCTATGTCAGAGGGAAGATCTGGGGCTCAAGGCTGCTGTTCAGATTCTTTTGTCCCATGGGGTGCTCCCTTGGATGTAGTACTCTCCTCTCCCCCTTTTCCTAGGGATGTGGCTTCCTGAGAGCCGAACGGTAGTAATTGTTATTTCTCTTCTGGATCTAGCCACCCAGATGGGCTACCAGGCTCTGGGCTGGTACTAGGAGATGTCTGCATAGAGTCCTGTGATATAAACTATCTTTAGGTCTCTCAGCCATGGATACCAGCACTTGCTCCAGTGGCGGTGGCAGGGGAGTGAAATGGACTCTGGGAGGGTCCTTAATTATATTATTGTTGTTTATTGTAGTTCTGTGCTGGTTGCCCTCCTGCCAGGAGGTGGCGCTTTCGAGAGAGCATCAGCTGTGGTAGTAAAGGGAGGGTCAGGTGGTGGGCAGAGCCCTAGAACTCCCAAGAGAATATGCCCTTTGTTTTCAGCTACCAGGGTGAGTAGGGAAGGACCATCAGGTGGGGGCACGGCTAGGCATGTCTGAGCTCAGACTCTCCTTGGGAGGGGCTTGCTGTGGCTGCTGTGGGGAATGGGGGTGTGGTTCCAGGTCAATAGAATTGTGTTCCCAAGAGGATTATGGCTGCCTGTGCTGTGTCATGCAGGTTGTCAGGAAGTCGGGGAAAGCTGGCAGTTACAGGCCTCATCCAGCTCCCGCACAACCCAAAAGGCCAGTCTCATTTCCACCATGCCCCCTGCCCCCCACCTCACCAGCACTGAGTCTGTTTCCAGGCAGTGGGTGAACAGGGCTCAGAACTTGCACCAGGCTACCAGCCTCCAGGCTGAGAAAGCAAGCAGGACTTTTTTTTTTTTTTTGAGGCGGAGTTTCGCTCTTGTTGCCCAGGCTGGAGTGCAGTGGCCCGATCTTGGCTCACCGCAACCTCCGCCTCCCGGGTTCAAGCGATTCTCCTGCCTCAGCCTACCAAGTAGCTGGGATTACAGGCATGTGCCACCATGCCCAGCTAATTTTTTGTATTTTTAGTAGAGACGGGGTTTCACTGTGTTAGCCAGGATGGTCTCGATCTCCTGACTTCGTGATCCGCCCGCCTCGGCCTCCCAAAGTGCTGGGATTACAGGCGTTGAGAAACCGCGCCTGGCCTTTCATGCCTCCCCACCTGTTGAGTCTGCACATCAGATTCATGCCCTACCCGGAGTTCTGGCTAGGAAACTCTGGTTGTAATTGTTACAAAGTTCAGCTGGAGGTTTCCTTCTCCCTGTAGTCTTTTCCCAGTTCCTCTGGCAGCCCTCCCCAGGGACCCCTGTGAGACAAGTCAGAAATGGCTTACATGGGGACCCAGAGAGACTGCAGGGCTTTTCCTGCTGCTTCCTCTACCTCTGTAGTTCACTCAGGTGTCTACATTGTCTCAGCTCAAATCCTTCTCCCATGATCTGGACTTTCAGGTTCCCCAGTGAGGGCACGCGTTCATGGGCGGATGATCCTCCTTTCCCACTTTCACAGTTTGGGCATGCACAGTATTTGGGCTGTCTCCTGGGTCCTGCGGGAGTAATCCGCTTCCTTCAAAGGGTCTGTGGATTCTCTTGGCTTTCCTGGTATATTCCTGCAGTAGTTCTTGGAGCAGAAGTTCACAATGTGACTCCCGACATGCTGCTCTATCCATCCGAGTGAAAGCTGCAATTTAGTCCTGCCTCCTGTCCGCCATTTTCCCCCCTCTCCTTGGAGCTGCTCTTTCATACCTTCTGTGCCTGGGATCCTCTCTTCTTCCCCATTTGAGTCACTTCTTGAACAACTTTGCATTTGTGCAAGTGAGAATGGTGGGTTTTCCATTCGCCTAGGAGGTTGGGAACTTTAGGTATAGTATACAATTTACAAACCGCTGTGTGGTGGTTGGTTGCTTGTTCCTTTCACATCACCTGGGGCTGGCAGGCAGCAGCTGGTATCCCTAAAGAGGTGCAGATGGAAAGCATCAACATTGACAAGAGCCCATCATCAATTTCCCCTTCCTGATAAGGGAGTTTCTCTGTGATTCAGGCCAATTCCCCTGGATCCACAGAGCCAGGAGGTCTGGCTGTGCAAGGGAGGGCAGGAAAAGCTAGAGTACCTGAGATGGGGAAGGAGGAATGAGAGAGACACAGGATGCAGAGCCAGGTTAGAAAGCAAAGAGTGAGAGCACATCAGAACCAACCAAACAACAACAACCAAAAAGGAAGGAGCTCCACAGCCCTGAGCATTTCTGAAGTCTCAGGCTCACTATGGGGCCTCTTCCCATAGTATTCCATCAATATGTCAATAATACCTACCCTGCAGGTTGCTGTGAGGTTTAAAGGAGCTAATGTACATGGGATACCTGGTCCAGCATGTTGACTTTACGGAGTCCCTACAACTACCAGTGTTATTTAAAATAATTATTAAGATGGTGGACCCATGATCAGACCCAAGTTGTGTCAACAGAACAGACTATCTGAGATCCTGATGGCATGTGCTCCCTCTCCACCTACCACTTGACACTTCAGAGTCTCAGGGCACATGTCACATCTCACCTCAAATGAGGTGCCAGGTTGGCCTAGGGCAAGAATTCAGAAGGACTGGGAGGAGAGATCAGGGCTAGGAGACGGCACCCAGCTTGTCTCCTTCTCAGAGCAGAGGGGCAAAGTCAGCCCTTTGCTCAGGGTTTGCTACGCATCCACTGAAATTTGGCATCAGTCCTTCCGCTGAATCTCTGTTTGCTGGCCATGCCTTAAAAAACAAATACTGGTCAGTTGTTAAAGTTCACTTGGTCTTGACAGCCAAAGCCAGGAGCATTTGGCCAACATCATGAGTCTGACTCAGCAGAGCGGAGCCCACTGCATGCTTGAGCAATGCTTTGAAGCAAGTCATATCTCACCTCAAATGAGGTGCCAGGGATATTAATGCAATGAGACTGCTTAGTCAATCTGCGCCCTGCTGGGTGAATCACACTCCAAACACCTGTAGGTAAGAACATTCGCTGCAGCTGAGTATATTGCCAGCAACCCTTCCCTGGTGCCTGTTTCTATCTCTGTTAGTGGGGACCTCCTTAAAATGCTGCCTTCAGACAAACTGTCTACGCGGCACTCAGCCTATGGCAGTCAGTAGGTAAACTAGGAATCTTTTTACAGACAGTGAACGTTAAAACCAGCAGGACATCATGAGTTGCTCAAAGAGAGTGATGATAAAAAAATGGTTAGAATTTGAAACAAAAGGGGACAATCTCTTCTTCATACAGGGATAATAACAGAGCAAACATATTATAAAATCAATGCATTATTGGCACAGACCTGCAATTCAGCGGGTATCCAAATGGTGATGTGATGAATGGTAACACAGCACTGAATATCTTCAGAATCAATACCTTAGGTCCACATTTGAGGACTCCTTAAGTATCCCCTTCCAAGTCCCTGCCATCACCCCTGGGTATTCTGTAAAGCAGAGATGGCTTTTCAGAGTGGCCCCAGGGGAGGAGCAGTCAGCTCAGCATCCAGGACAGAGGTCACTGGAGTGCCCCAGCCATGTGAAGGCAGGCTAGCCAAGGGTTCCACCCCAGAAGAAGCATTAATGCCTTAGGTACTACACAAGCTACTAATTAATGAATAATAAATAGACCTTTTGGAATGGCCTAACTTAAAATTACAAAATGAAATGTATTTGCTAGTCTCCTAGAACATTCACTTTTCTGCAGGGCTGCCTCTTTCTACTCCTCGTAGTGAAGAGTCCAGCAAAGAGCTGAGCAATGCGATTGGCTTCAGACACATTTGGATATTCAGCGATCCTGGGACACATCTCGGGTGTCCCTTCTCACCTCTGGTGATGGTTTTGCCTCCCAAAGTGTCCTCTCCTTCTCCTTGGCTCTAATCCTACCCAACTTCCCAGAACCAGCGTACACCCCCACCCCAGAATGCCTTTCCTGGTCACCCCATCTTGTAGAGCTCCCTCCTCCTTCTGCAAGTATTTGTCTCATAATCATTCCTGTGTCTTTTACTCTCCCTCGATGTATTGTTTAGATTCATAACATTATGATTATGTAGCTTCCCTCCTGTTGCAGGGTTGCTTTTTCGCAGGGACTGTGCCCACCTTGGTGTTCTCCATAGAATGCTTCTCAGATGCAGTGTGTGGTACAAATGCCCAAGATCTTGTTAAAATGCAGTCTGACTCAGTGAGTCTCTCTGGGGGCAGGCCCTGAGATTCTGCATTTCTAATAAGCTGTCAGGTAATGTCAAAGCTGGTCTGTCTAGGGACCACACTTTGAGTACCAAGGGACTATCATATCTAGGACAATGTCACGTGTGTGGTAGATTTTCAATAAATAGTTATTCATCATGGGCTCTTTCACCTATTCTCCACCATGGCCTGCGGAGCTGAGTCCTCAGTTCCCTTTGAGGAACAAATATGTAGAGGCCCTGGAAACTGTGTGCTGGCCTTTGGTCATCCCAGAGCCAGGATGGGCTCCACACTCCTCCCACCTGCTCTGGCCTGCGGCAGCATTCCCACGTTCCTTCTATGAGAAAAACAACATGCATCAGGCACTATGGGACGGCGCTGACAAAAAAGACAAAATGTCAGGTCTCATAGCCTCGAAAATTTCCTGCCCATTAAATAAGCATTCCTTGGGTGGTTTTCTCTATCACTGCTAAATATTAAAGTCATAGGTCTCACAGTGTGTAGGCTCAAAACATGCTTCATTCCAGAAGCCACTGTTTTGTCAACTTTACAAACCACATAAAATAGTTTGAATACTGAAAACATCAAGCTTACACAGAGAAATGATATTTTGCTATGGGACTGAATATTTTTAATAAGATCCTATTTCCTGGGGAAAGAAGAAAAGTCGCAATGTAAGCAATAGCAGCAAGGAAGATCATTATGGTTCCTAAGTAATCCAACTACTGATGATAAATGACATAGCAACATGTGCATTTAGGTTTTTTGTTTTTTTTTTTTAAAAAAACTGTGTTCCATGCTAGTAAAGAATTAACTAGCAAAGAACAATATCCTTAAAACAGCTATACATATTTTCAATACATCTAACACATAGCCTACAAAGTAACCAATGTGAATTTGAACTGAGTGCTCCTTTTTTTGTTATAGCTGATAGGTCTCTTAAGATCTCAATGAGTGTAGGTTAACAGATAAATAGAATAAATTGTAAACTGCTCTGCTGGTGTCTAGCACATAGCAGGTATTCAACAAAGGAATGTTGTTAAACAAAAAATGAATGAATGGAGAGAGGAAGACAGGGGTAGGCACCCTTATGGCTTTGTGAATGGGTCCACAGCGTGGTATTTTGTACTTGAACCAGAAGTCGTATGAAAATGAGATACGAACATTTACAGGGTCATAGTCACCATTATTAAATAATGGGAGCCACACTGTACAGCTTGTCCTTAACTGACAAAAGATAAACTCTGCATACAGGCATTGATGACATATGGATATAGAGCTACCAAGGACTCAGTCGACCAGGCCAGCGACACAGTATCGTTTAATGAAAAAGGATACAGCCTGCTACGTATTTATGCATATACACTCACTGAAGGTCTATTTCATGTCAAGTCCTGAGTACCTTAGGTTTTCACAATGACAAAATAAGAATTCATTTGCTTTAAAAAATTGGAATACATCACTCTGAAATATTTACATACGTAAAAAACAACCATATGCATTTTCTTAAATGGTTTCTTTCAAAATCCAGAAAAAAATCAGAAAAAAACTTATAAAGATGATTCTATAAAAATAAGAACTTTTGTATCATTAAGAAAATCTGGCCAGGTGCAGTGGCTCACGCGTGTAGTCCCAGCACTTTGAAGGCTGAGGTGGGCAGATCACTTAAGGTCAAGAGTTCGAGACCAGCCTGGCCAATATGGTGAAACCCTGCCTCTACAAAAAAATACAAGAATTAGCTGGGTGTGGTGGTGTGCATCTGTAATCTCAGTTACTCAGGAGGCTGAGGCATGAGAATTGCTTGAATCTGCAAGGTGGAGGTTGCAGTGAGCTGAGATTGTGCCACTGCACTCTAGCCTGGGTGACAGAGTGAGACTCCATCTCAAAAACAAACAAACAAAAAGTCTTAAGCAAAGTAAAAAGGCAAATAAAATTTTAAAAATGTAAATTATAACTCAAAGGATTAATATCCCTAATATAGAAAAGATTAGAAAAATAGAGAAACAAAAGACCAATGATTGTATAGAAAATGGACTAGAGATATGGTCAGAGTTCACAGGAAGAGAAATGCAAATAGCACTTCACTATATGCTCAATCTCATTCATAAGAGAAAAATGAAATTTAAAACTGCACTAATATGATTTCTCATTTATCAAATTGGAAAAAATCCCAAAGTTTGACAATATCATGTAATTAGCAATGCTGTGGGGAAATGGGCACTGTCGGTCATTGCTGGTGGGAATATAAAATGGTACAACCCCTATAAAGAGGAATTTGGCATTGTCCAGAAAAATGATGTATAAATTTACCTTTTGCTCCAATTATCCTACTTCTGGCAATCGATCTCAAGAAAGATACCCAAAGATGTATGCACAGGATATGTATTACATGCAGCACAAATACCCACCAATAGGAGAAGGTGAACAAACCAGGACACGGCCAGACAATGGAGCTGAAGAAAGCAACAGCACTCCTAGAGCCCAGATCAGGGTCTCTCAATACTGTTTCTTACTGAAAGACACAGGGCTCCTTAAAAAATGGCTAATTCCAGGTATGGAGTAATAAATGTGCAAGATGGATTCCAGAACATGTTGTCATACAAGAGATCAATCAATCAATCAATCAATCTAGCTCTCAAAGAGTCAGGTCAAAAGGAAGTGATCTAACTTTTAGAAGCTTGCTCTGGCCAATGAAGGGACAATTGGAATATCATTAAGGATAATAACTGTAATGGACTTGAACACACAGAACATGCATGAATCCCTGAATTTATAAAAATATTTGGAAAAAACCTTACTGGTTAACTTTAGGAGATATTAGAAATCCAACTTACTGTTTTTAAATCAGTTAAAAAAAGGAAAAAATTAATTCCTTTCGCCATTCGTATATGAAATGTACTTTAGGGAAATCAAATCATTGATGAGAGGAAGCTTCTCTTTACAGAAGTTTTCCAGTTAGTAAAAAGAAGATGATAGAATATAACTACTGGACAATCTCTGATCAATTAATGAATTTAGGCAGTTCATAAATAGTTGCTATTGATAAACAGATAACCAGACAATATGTATTTTGTGATGAAAATACACAGAACCACATGTGAATTATCCTAAAAAAGAAACCAAAAACAAAGAAATAAAGAAAAAACCAGAATAAGGTCACAATGCAAGCAAACTTTTATCTAATTACATCTAATTATCAACTTACAGGAAATACGGAGGACAAAATAACATGGTAAATGACACCACAGAGATGCCATCAGCAACATTCACACTGTGGAAAATTCTCAAGACAAACTGCTCTCTTCAACAAATGAGTTAGAAGAGGCAAGGAAAAAATGGAGGAGGCACCTATAGATTAAAAGATATTTTAGAGACCTGTCAACTAATTGCAACATGTGGATATGGACCTTATTTAGATCCTGATGCAAACAAACTATTTAAAAATGGATTTCTGAGATAACTGGAGGGATCAAACAGTGGATAATTTCTAATACTGTGATAACATTTTAAAAAAGAGTGCTTATTCTTTTTTCTCTCTTTTTTCTTTTCTTTTTCTTTCTTTCTTTTTTTTTTTTTTTTTCTTGAGACAGAGTCTCACTCCGTCACCCAGACTGGAGTGCAGTGACACAATCTCGACTCACTGCAACCTCCACCTCCTGGATTCAAGTGATTCTTGTGCCTCAGTCTCCCAAGTAGCTGGAATTACAGGAACATGCCACCATGTTGGCTAATTTATTGTATTTTTTTTTGTAGACAGAGGATTTTGCCATGTTGGCCAGGCTGGTCTCCAACTCCTGACTGCAAGTGATCCACCCATCTCAGGTTCCCAAAGTGCTGGATTACAATCCAGCCACCGCGCCTGGCCATTTTTAAGAAATACATACATTTAGAAATGCCTCAAAAGAAATTATATGATGTCTGGATTTTCTTCAAATCAATCTGATGGGAAGAGGGAACGGATGGTGGTATAGATGAAATGAGATTGGTCTTGAGTTGCTAATTGTTGAAACTGGGTGATGGATACATGGCAGTTCATTGTACGATTTCCACTTTGTAAATGTTGAATTTTTGATAATAAAAAGCTAAGACAAAATTAAATTAATAAAAATTAAATAAAGGAATAGGAATCTCCTGTATCTTCCCTCCTTCCCTGCCTGGGTATGTGATGACTTTTATTTCTGGAACACTTTACTCCAAGGTTCCTCTAAACGTTATGGGATTCAAATCCACTCTCAGGTGCCTTTGCAGTAGGAGGTGGCCAATGAGGGAAATAGGAAGAGAGGTGAATGAAGTCCCCAAGACTACAACTTTAAATAGAGAGTGACCTGACAATTCTAAATTTAGCGACATGATCTCTCCTAACCAGATGCCTGGAGTTAGATAAAGGTGTGCATGTGTGTGTTCTAAAGTCCTAGTGGGACATGAGCATCTTCCTTGAGTTGCTAGCTAGGTCTCACTTAGCAGGGAGGAGTGTGCTCTCAGCTGCATTCACCATGCAGAAGTGATGTGTTTCCTTTACCTGAGCCCCTCCTTCTGAAGAAAGGGATTTAAGAAAACCTGAAGGTCAAGGTGGCCATCCCTCTGTCCCTATTTCAGTAAGCTCTAAACTTGCACCCAAGGAAACACCATGGCATGCACTGACCCTAAGATCATTAGGCATCTTTGGGAAGATCTAATGTGAATGATTAGCCACATCCTTTTGAAAAAGAGGGAAGTCAGAGAGCCCCACAGTGGGGAGATGACCACCTGAGGCTCACCTGTAGAACCAACAAACCACCAGAACTGGAGCCACAGACTGTCATTTCTAGCCAGGTGCTGTTGTCACTCATCCCTATTTCCTAGAGGTTGGCAGTGGGTTACAAAAAATGTCTATGGAAATCAAGCCCAAACAATTCTAGGATCGAGCTATAGGAGTGATACTGCTGAACTGCTGAAATTTTCCTTCTGCAGTAAGTCTGACAGCCCAAGGTCATGGAACTTGAGAAGAGGATAGAGTCGGGGGAAAGGCTTTTTACCTTTTTTCTTTTGCTCTTTCGTTCTAAAGAAGCATACTGAATTCCACTGCTGAAGTCAAAGAGGCTTTTGCTGTCAGTCTCAGATAAATGCTTCATTCTGCTATGTGCTGCTCCACTCCCTTTATTCTCCTCTTTAATTGAACCTGAATTGCATGGTTATTTTTAACATAATTGGTAAAAATTCAAGAGAGTTAATGCCATGTCCTTGGCTCATAAAACCCTTTCTTTTCCTTAGATGTGTTTCAACTCAGTGCTGATGCCAGGTATTAACTGTAGGATGACTATAGTTAACAACGATATATTATTAGTTTCAAATAGCTAGGAGGAGGATAGTGAATGTTCCCAACACAAAGAAATGATAAATGTTTGAGATAATAAATATGCGAATTACCCTGGACTGATCACTATACCTTATGTGTATTGAAATAGAACCATGATGTACAATTATTGTACATCACGAATACATACAATTACTATTTGTCAACTAAGAAAATGTTTTTAGAGCCGGGTATTAGTGAAGGAATTTTTGAACATTTGAGCTAAACCTGCTCTCCCAAGTATTCAGATTTGTTTTATAAAACAAAGTCTCCCCTAATTGTCTTTGTCTTAAATGCTTTCCATTAGCTTCATCTATTAGCTTCACCAAGAAGATGGACCTTCAGCCAAATTGGAACATTCCCTAAAATTCTCTGTTCACTGAAACACTCGGCGTAGGAGTTCTATTCTACTCAGGTCTGAAATGATCGCAGCTGAGGAAGTTCTCAGCTCTGCAGAGTCAAGAAACAGAGTCGTGAAGGAGGCTCAGTGGAGGGAATGTGGGGCCTGGAGATGGAACACCTGGGGCTGCCTGTATCACACTGAGCCATCACACACCTCTCTGTGCACGTTTCCATGTTCATTAAAAGGAGACGAGAGTCCAGCTTATGATATGTTGGAAAAGGAAAAACTGTGGAGATAGTATAAGATCAGTAATTTCCAGGGGTTGGGGGAAGGATTTTTAGGGCAATGAAATGGCTCTGATACTGTAATGATAGATACACATGTCATTAGACATTTGTCAAGATCCACAGAATGTACAACATCAAGACTGAACCATAATGTAAACTAGGAGCTCTGGGTGGTGATGATGTGTCAGTATGGGTTCATGAATGGTAGCAAACGCAGCACACCAATGGGGGATGCTGACAGTGTGGCAGGCTGTGGATGATGTACATCCACAGAATGTACATCATCAAGACTGAACCATAATGTAAACTAGGAGCTCTGGGTGGTGATGATGTGTCAGTATGGGTTCATGAATGGTAGCAAATGCAGCACACCACTGGGGGATGCTGACAGTGTGGCAGGCTGTGCGGGTATGGGAGCAAGGGGTTATATGGGAACTTTCTGCTTAGTTTTGCTGTGAACCTAAAACTGTTCTAAAAAGTCTTTTTTTTTTTTTTCCTTAGGAGAGGGTAGAAGCTTCCTGACCTATCTCCTAAGACTTCTGAGAAGGTCAATGAGAGAAACAATATAAATGGCAGCTGAAAATGGCCAGATAAATATATGTAGTGTGCTTATTCTTAAAAGTCATAGTATTCCAATTGACTGAAAGCATTGGAGGGATGAGTTCGGTGGCAAGGGGCATGGGCTAGGTGATCTCCTTACCACCTATGCCTCGGGACTTTATGTGAGAAGCAACATAGCCCAAGTATGTAGTGGGGTGATGGGCCCACTGGAATTTCCACAACTGAATGATAATAGTCTTTCAGAGGAGGCAACTGGGGCATGGTGCTCTTATTACTAAAATGCTATCATTGTTCTAACACTTTTATTCCTCTTTTGGAACAAGTTTCCAGAATCTCATTTTAGCATTCTCAAGTTATGAATTTGGTTTCTGGAAAGGGTTACAGTGTGATAAGTAAAGCATGCGCTCAAGTGATTATAAAGCAATGATGAGCTGATGTTCTTGTTTGGCGGTGAGAAATGATAGAGATGCCATCCAAGCAAAACTGTACTATGATTGCACAACAGAAAATTGTATTAAACCATGACATGCCCTGTACTATCTAAGATCAAATTGTTTTGATGTCAGCTTGTCAAGTTCCAATCCATATGTTCCAATATAAGACCACGGACTGAGTTAAGAGTAACTTCTCATGGACCCATGCATTTCAAAGACCATCTGAGTTCAGCAACTCACCTGATTTGCAAATTCTTACCAATCTCTGCTTCCTAACTTCTACCTTAAACAGTACCCCATAACTAACTGAGCCCCTACAACTCTGTAAGTTCCTCCTTTAGAGACACAGACTCTGACAAGTTAGTGCTCTCCCTGATCAGTAAGTGTAGTAAAGCCGTCTTTATGTGGTCTTTGCATTGGGGGCTTCGACACTGGGCAGGGTCCTAGCCTGTCCATGAACCCCTAGGCTTTTTCATGCTGTTTTCCCCCTTTCTGGCTTCCTCACTCACAAAGAGAGTTTAGCTCTGTTCTTGTGTACTTCTCTCATCCAGGTGGCTTGGAGGTGCTTCCCTCTTAGGAGTATTTATGGTTTAACCTGAAGCCTTAGAAGACCACTGTATTAGCCCATTTTTATGCTGCTGATAAAGACATACCTGACACTGGGCAATTTACAAAAGAAAGAGGTTTAATTGGACTCACAGTTCCACATGGCTGGGGAGGCCTCACAATCATGGTGGAAGGCAAGGAGGAGCAAGTCACATCTTACATGGATGGCAGCAGGCAAAGAGAGAGCACTTGTGCAGGGAAACTCCCATTTTTAAAACCATCAGATCTCATGAGACTCATTCACTCTCATGAGAACAGTGCAGGAAAGACCTACCTGCATGATTCACTCACCTCCCGCTGGGTTCCTCCCATGACATGTGGGAATTGTGGGAATTACAATTCAAGATGAGACTTGGGTGGCGACACAGCCAAACCATATCAACCACAACTCAAACAACATTCCAGGGCCCTCACAAGAATAATTCTCCAAAGAAGAAATTTCAGTTCTGGTGCTGTTTGGGTGTAGGGAAAGACCTTGCTCAGAGCTTCTGGAACATGGTTATAGTAGTCCAGAAAGTATCACAACAAGAACCAGGAGAGGTGTTTTGTTGTTATTGTTTTTTAATTAAAGTAGGCTCCTGATCTCCACTTGTAGATGTTCAAGTTCAGTCTGTCTGGGGTACAACCCAGGGACTTGCATTTTTTATGACCACCCAGATGGAGCCATGGTGGTTCTGAAGTAGAATGCTTCAGACAGAAGGCTACCCCCTCAGCTCCCTGTCAGCCCACCTTGGCTGGGTTCTTTTCTGATGGGCTGTGAGTGTGAGTCTAGTGACCATCTCAAAGGGCTTCCCAATTGATTCTGATAGAGATGCTGTTCCTTCATAGAAGATCAAAGTCAGAGGAACCAGCTTGTCCTACACATTTATGGGTGAGGGGGCTCTGGGGTCCTCAAGGTGCTGTGAGTGGAACAAGCGTGAGTTACTGCAGCTGAGTCCCTTCACAGCATCGCATCAAAGATCTTCCTTTGTCCAGGTTGGGAATAGGCTTTTCCACTCTATGAACAGATGGAGCAGCTTTCTCTTTGAGCAGCTTTCTCTTTTCCCCCAAAATTAACTGCCTTAAAACACTTGAAATCTCTAGCCATCCGCAACTGCTGTGTGATTCTTCCTCTTTGGGTAAGAATGGGGAGCTGCCAAGTGCAGCAGAGTGTGGAGAATGGCTTCAGAGCTTCTTGGCGGCAGAATTTGTTTCATGCGGAACTCCAGCATATGGCTCAGGTAGGAGATCATCTATGTCCCAGAAAAAAGGGATGTCCCATGCTCTGCCTTCTGATCCTCAGAAGAAGGGCTGAAGGTGGGTGGGGACAAGTCCCAGGCACTTAATGTTGGCAAGCACTTTTGAGGCAGGTGGAATCTTTGAAGGGGAGAGTGGGCTCAGAGATATGCTTGAGAAAGAAAGGATTTGGCTGGAGAAAGATTGGAGGCCAGGGACCCAACACTCATAAGGAGACAAATGGCACAGTGCAGCAAGGGGTGCGGATGGTGGACCTGCCTCCACACTGACCTGGCCATCCTACTGGGAACCCACTGACGGCTCTTGGCTCTGAGAGCTGCTCCACACCCAGTGCTGCCTCTGTCCTCTGCAGAGAGCTGAGCTCTTGGCCCTGGTCTTTGCTGTCTAGAAACCATAGACAGTCCTTCAGACCCATTGGTTTATCTAGACTCTCTTCCTTTTTTTTTTTTTTTTTTTTGAGACAGGGTCTCACTCTGTTGCCCAGGCTGGAGTGCAGTGGTGCAATCACAGCTCACTGTAACCTTGAACTCCTGAGCCCAAGTGCTCCTCCTGGCTCAGCCTCCCACATAGCTGGGACTAAAGGCATGAGCCGTGGCATGAAGCCCAGACCCTCTCCTAGCCAGCTGGTGGTGTGGGGTTGCTATTTCTTCCAATACATGGGAGATTTAAATAGGTTTTTGGGATGGTTCTAAATAACCTCCTCCTTTTGCTTCATCAAAGGGTGAAGACATGGTTCTTACCTGTTGTGCACAAGGGGAAATGCAGATAGCATTTAAGAAAAATGATAAAAAATTAATTGTCCTACTTCTTATGGACAATGCGAGAGAAGAAAATAGTTAATAAAGATTGCTTCTTTGGACCAAAATGAAGAGGATTTTCCCAGGGCAGATACTGCTAGAGCCTCCTTGATTAGACAGAGATCTGAATAAAATAGTACATTGAAGTGAGAGGCATTTAAATGAGAAAGTTTATTGGACAGGGTAACTATGGTGACAGCCCCACTCAAGATACAAAAGCCGTATGCGTCTTTCTGAGCCTAAGCAAATTCTAAAATTCACGGAAGATCTCTAAAAAATATAGGATGGGAATCAGCAGCAAAATCTGCCTACGAGTCTGCTAGTATCTCAGATGACAAGACGCCTTCCACCTCCCTTCCTGTCCCCAGGAGGACTGAACTCTTTGTTGGATGCAGATCTCAGCCTTCTCTCCTTCATTCCCTGCCTAACATTCCCTTGGTCCCTTGGTGAAAGCTTTTTCTTTGTGGCTTAGGTAAAGAACAGTGCCCTTGTTGGGCTGCTGCCTGAATGAAATTGATAGGCACCTTGTTGACGATGTTTCACACAAACATTTTCCAAGATTGCCCACTCACAAAGAGGACCTTCCAGCCTCCTGCTCACATTTCTTCTGTGTTTTCTCCAGGGATGTGCTTTCTGCCGGATCTCTGGTTGGGAAGAGTGTGTTTATGCACACACAGAGATGTTTATACATATACACGCAGTGGAGTGGAACCTGTTTCAGCATCTGCTAGCTGTGTGACCTCGGGCAGGTGACTGACTTCTCTGAATCTCAGATTCCTTGTGTGCAGAATGGGGATGATAACCAGCTCTCTCAGAGACAGGGCGGGATTAAGTAAGACAGTGTCTGTGACGCATAAGCATAAAATCGTGCCTGGCACATAGTAGGTCCTCAACAAATAGAAGCTATGATTTTCATTATCTTTTCAAAGTGAGTAAAACAACCAGTTTTTGGATCCACTAATGCAAGGCCAGGTGGTAGTGAACTAACAGATGGAAGGCTGGAGTGAAGGGACAGGGAGGCTATGGGCTCAGTCTCCAGTGGGTTTTGTTAGGGGCACTATCTGCTTGTTCTCAGGGTACACATGAGGTGAACAGGTGCTCTGGTGCCTCCCTTCATTCATCTCACATCTTTGGCACAGAGTTGCCATGAAGTGGCAAAGCCAGTGTTCAACAGAGGCCATTAGCACAGGGACAAAACATTCTCTGTGGCACCATGCCGCAGGAACACAGGACTGCCACGCAGAGCTGTCCAGCTCGTGCTTGTATCAGGATGCACCAGAGTGAGGGGTGAGTGGGGCCTGGAAGAGGCCTCTGGTTCTAATTCCCCAGGTAGCCCCTTTTCTGCTGTACACAGGGGTCCTGTGGGGCACACATGGGCACATTCCCCAGGCTCCAGAGGAGAAAATCGCTCCCAAGCCCACCTTCTCACTTTCAGACCTGATTAATTTGTCAGAGAGCGGAGGAAACTCTTGTCCTCAGCAGAGGCTGGACTCTTAATTTAAGGCAATGCTTCCCTTCTCTCCCACTGAAGGAGTCCAAATGGCCTTGGGGTAGCTTTAGCTCCTGGAGGCAGGGGCTATGGTCAGAATGTCCCACTGCAAAGGCAAAAGGTATTTAAAACCCCACATTCCATCCTAAAACTTCCCAAGGATTTTGCATTCGAATCCACATTGTGGCTGCTTTTAATAATGAATCTTCTGTGCTGCCTGAATCTGGAACCATGCTTAGCCAGTGCTTTTGCTCCACCCCCTACCTCTGTTCTCCAACCTGTGACCCCAGAGGTTATTAGTTCCCCAGTTTGAGAGATAAGGGTGTGGCATTGCAGGAAGTAGAAATGCATGGGGTTGAAGGACAAAGACCCTGCAGCCAGGCTGCCTAGCTCGAATTATGGCTGAACTCCTAACTAGCTCTGTGATTCTGGGTAAGCCACTTACCCTCTCTGGGCCTCTCGCTCCTCACATGTAGTACTAGGGTGATAATAAGAGTGTCTACCTTTCAGGGCTTTTGTAAGGACTAAATGAGTTAATGTACCTGAAGTACTTAGAACAACATCTGGCGTATAATAATCCTATATAAGTATTTGGTATTTTCATCATGATCATTTATGAGCTTCCACGAGGGAGCTGGAAAGCAGTTCGTACTCCAGCCCCTCCACCTGTTCCTAGTGAAATGCTGGACAATGACTCTACCCCTTGGTCAGCTGGCTATCAGAGCCCTTAGTTAAGGGGGCACAGGCATTAAAAAGCATGAAAAATGATTGTTTGGTGAAATCTGAATAGGTCTGTTATCTACCCAACTGTGTTGTGTCAATGAGAATTTCCTGGGTTCAATTTTGCCCTAAGGTCAGGGATGATGTTACCATTGGGGGAAGCTGGAAGAGGGACACATGGGGCCTCTCTGCTATTTTTGCAACATCCTGTGAGATGAAAATCACAGCCACGCACTGCATAGTGATGTTTCAGTCAACAACAGACCGCATATATGACTGTGGCCACATCGGATTATAATACTGCATTTTTACTGTACCTTTTCTACATTTAGATATGTTTAGAGACACAAATACTTGCCATTGTGTTACAATTGCCTATAGTATTGAGAACAGTCACATGCTGTACCAGTTTGTAGCCTAGAAGCAGAGGAAATAGCATATAGCCTAGGTGTATAGTAGGCTATACCATCTAGGTTTGTGAGTGCTCGCTATGATGTTTGCACAATGATGAAGTCGCCTAGAGATGCGTTTCTCAGAATGAATCCCATTAAGTGACACTGAACTATTTTAAGAATAAATACTTAAACAATTCGGCCAGGTGCCTCACACCTGTAATCCTAGCACTTCGGGAGGCCAAGGTGGGTGGATCCCCTGAGGTCATGAGTTCGAGACCAGCCTGGCCAACACAGTGAAACCCCATCTCTACTAAAAATACAAATATTAGCTGGGCGTGGTGGCACGCACCTGTAGTCCCAGCTACTTGGGAGGCTGAGTCAGCCTTGAACCTGGGAGGTGGAGGTTGCAGTGAGCCAAGATTGTGCCACTGCACTCCAGCCTGGGTGAAAGAGCAAGACTTTGTCATAAATAAATAAATAGTTAAAAAATAATTGATGTGTTCTTGGGGCTGTGGCACTGACCCTATTGCAAGGCACCCTGAGATTTCAGCTTAGGGACTAGCTAGAAGGTTAGGTGGGGGTCTGGACTGGAGGTGTCCAACTGGGTGCTAGAGGCCAGGAAAGGTGAGGACACAGAAATCCATGCAAGCAATGGTCAGATGTGAATCTGTGCTAAAAAGAAGATGAGCTGGACATTCCTTCTCACTTTTCACTGGGTAGAAACAGTCATCAGTTTCTGGGGTTGGGGAAGTAGGGCGGTGGGGGGTGAGGGGGATAACTGAGTCCACAGTCCATATAAAAATTACATACATTTATGGGGTTCATAGTGATGTTCCGGTACATATAATGTATAGTGATCAGATCAAGGTAATTAGCATATCTATCATCTCAAACATTTATCATGTTCCTTCTAGCTCTTTGCAACTATATATTATTCTTAACTACAGTTATTCTACAGTAATATAGAACACTAGAAATTATTCTTCCTGTCTAGCTGTAATTTTGTAACTTTTAACAAATCCCTCCCTATCCTCTCTTTCCTCCTACCCTTCCCAGCCTCTAGTGTCCTCTGTTGAGAACCACAGTGTCCCCAACTCTCTGATGATAAGTATCATCTGTCTTGGGGCACTAGTTTAATTTAAAAAGCTGCAATTTCTCAGGCTCTTTCCTTGATTTGGTGGGCTTGGAAGCCAGGAATTTGTATTGAATAATTATCCAGGTAAATCTTAAAGTAGACATTGGCACTGCACAGACACCCCCCTCTGTGTAAGAAATTTACATCTATCTCAACATGTGCCAGATCACATCGCCCCCACTGTGCAAAGCTCTCAAAAGCAGTCATTGTCACCCCAGCTACACGTTAGAATCACCATGGGAGTTTTGAAAAATCCCTGTGTCCCAGCCTCATCCCAGACTAATTAAGCCAGGGCCTCTGGGGCTGGGGACAGAGCATTAGTACCCTTCAAGGCTTCCTCAATGGTCCCAGTATGCAGAATCCCCTGGAGAGCTAGCTGCAACTCAGGTTACCTTGCCCCACTCCAGCTTCTGATTCAGGGGTTCTGGAATGGGGCCTGGGAATGTGCCTTTCTAACAAGTTCTCAGGTGCTGCTGGTGGTTTCAGGACCAAACTTTGGGGAACCCCTGGGTTGGGGAGAAGTGAGCAGAATGAGAAGATTAAGAGCACAGCCCCATAGCTGACAAACGCTGAACCTATTTCTATGATTAGAGGATGCATGGAAAGTTTTCTTAAGTGAGCTAACTGTGAGTCTGCAAATTAAATTTCTTAATTGTGCTCTTGGCTTCACCCAACAAGACTGCTTTGGCTTGCCAAGATCCTGAGGGGCCGACTGTCCCCACGGCAAGGCCACATCAAAGTGACTTGGGAGGAAAGGAAATTGCGTTCGTGCAACCGTTAAGTACTTCTTGTAAATGTTCTTCCTTGAACGCTCCTCAAACTCACCCTTAGGTTAAGTTAGGTAACCTGGTCACCTCTTCTGCTGTTTGAGGACCAAATCTTGTTTTCAGCTCTGGCCTCAGGCAGTTTTTGGTCTGTGTTGTGAATGCTGCACTTATAAAGTTAAATCCTGGAGCCTTAGGAAAAGCTCAGGCCTGTGGTGAGGGGTAGGATACCTCAGGGAGATGAGTCGTTTGCTTCTGGGAGGGGTCTTACTCGGGGTTGTCTTGGGTTGGAACGGGTACTCTACACCCTGGGGTCTGCCTGCCAGCAGGTGACCTGACCACCAAGAAGCCGCCTAAGGACATCTGGTCAAAACGTGTGCTGCAGTGGTAGAATTCTCACTTCTGTACTGGCTACTTGGCTTTAGCTCCTACCTGGGAGACAGCACAGTGAGACAGAAATAACTTTGTTTCTGCAACAGCTAGATCAAGCTCAAGCTCCTTTCCATACGAGTAAGTGGTTTAACCCCTACGAGCTGCCGTGCCCCCCTCTATAATGGGGTCAGGCCATCTGTGAAGCTCCAATGAGGATTAAATGGGACAGTAACTCATGGAATAGCCCCCAGCACAGTGCCAGCACAAGGGACTTCATGACTGGCTATACTTAGGGTTCTGTTCTTTCAGCCTGTCTTAGGGTAGGAGGCTGAGAGAGTGGGGCTGGAGAAGAGGCATGAAGGATTAAGATGTTCCCCTGGAGGCCAGGTGCAGTGGCTCACGCCTGTAATCCCAGCATTTTGGGAGGCCGAGGCAGGCGGATCATGAGGTCAGGAGATCGAGACCATCCTGGCTAACACGGTGAAACCCCGTCTCCACTAAAAATACAAAAAAGTTGCCTGGCATGGTGGTGGGTGCCTGTAGTCCCAGCTACTCCGGAGGCTGAGGCAGGAGAATGGCGTGAACCCGGGAGGCGGAGCTTGCAGTGAGCTGAGATCGCACTACTGCACTCCAGCCTGGGAGACAGAGTGAGACTCCAACTCAAAAACAAAACAAAACAAAACAAAACAGATGTTCCCCTGGGAAGAATGTGCATCTCCTTCCTAGCAGGACAGCTGGGGGCTGTACATTCATCTTACTGGGCCATGGTGAGGAAAGCAGCCTCTAAGCCTGGACTTCCTGTGGAGCAGGTACTTGACCTCCTCCCGTAGTGGAGCTGTGGGCCCCATGGTCAACAAGATGTCCCTGACAGGCAGTATGTCCCTGTCCAGAGCATCACAGCCAGAAACTCCCAGAAATCCAGCAAAGTTTTCAGGCAGAGGCCAGTGCCCCTCTGGCTGCCCGTTGTGACACAATCCCAGAATGTTAGAGCCTGGGAGCCCACAGCCGGGAACGCTTTGTCCTTGTCATGTTGCTAACCATCTGCTGGGCTGAGGTGAGGACCCGGACCTCCTCATGATGACTCCTACACTGAAATCATTAATCTTATGTGTCAGCTTGACTGGGCTAAGGGATGCCCAGGCAGCTGGTGAGACACTCCTGGTGCGTCTGTGAGGGTGTTTCTGGAAAAGATGAGCATTTCAAACAGTAGGCTGAGTAAAGAAGATCTGCCCTTGCCAATGCGGGTGGGCATCCTCCAATCCACCGAAGGCTGGAATAGAAGAAAAGGGCAGAGGAAGGACAAATTTGCTCTCTTCTTGAGTGGAGACATCCATCTTCTTCTGGCATTAGCCACTGGGGGTCCTGATTCTCGGCTCTTTGGACTCTGACTGGGAGTCACACCATCAGTTCCCTTGGTTCTCAGGCCTTTATACTTGGTCTGAATTTCACCACCAGCTTTCCTAGCACTCTAGCTTCCAAACAACAGATCCTTGGCTTTCTCGGCCTCCATAACCATGTAAGCCAATTCCCATAATAAATCTCCTCTTCTATAGATCTCTCTCCAAGAGAGGATGGAGTGTGACTCCCCCAGCTCCCAATAGGCAGGGCTGGGGTCGTTTCGCTGTGTGTCTGCTCCTGCCTAGAGGGAGTCCCCACAGTGGCTTCCCTCTTCACGGTTAGGTTTCTGAGACCGCAAAGCCACTTTTCTATCCCAGAGGCCTCCCTGCCACTGCCCAGCCTCACTGTTCTGCTGGGCATAGCAAATGCAGTCTTGAACCCTCACCTCTGCATTTCCTGGCAGGCACTCAGCAGCAGAATCATAGATACTGTGCTCCATATGCCAAGAGGCATTAACAGCCACTGCTGTAAACAATGGTGACCTTCTGGCAAGCTGTCTTGTCCTGTCCAACTTGGAACGGCGGCCCGGAGAGGCACTCTGCTGCATGATGGCCAGAATAGCAATGACACTTACAGGATGGTCTGAGCACAGTCCTGCACCTCCACTTTATTAATTACAGAAAGGGAGAATGAAGGGCTCTAGAGGTTAATGGAGAAGTGCCTGCAAATGACTGGGCTGTATGGAGTGACATGCCACGTCAGCAGGGATCTGAAGGCCATCCAGTTGCACGGACCCCTGGGGGAGTACCCCGGCCATCACAGTTTCTCTGAGAAGCTCAGTGCCACGCATGTGGCAGGAAATCTCTAAGGAGCCTTCAGACAGCATCTGAAAGTCATATTCCAGCCCTAGGGTGCAGACAGGACCCTGGCATTGAGTCTGCACCATGGCTCAAGTGAAGCACAGCTTGCCACTTTAGAGGTTCTTGACTTCAGAGAACTGTGAGGTCCAGGGCAGGGACCTCAGGCCTGACCTGGCCTATCATTTGTTTTTGTACATACGAGTTCATCTGCATACAGACACACAAGTGTGCAGGAATTGTCACTGACTACTCTTGGGCTACAATGGCACGGCAAAGCTAAGTAGTTCTAACAGGGGCTATAGGCCCACAAAGAAAAAGATTCACAATCTCGCTTATTCCAGAAAGTGCGCCAACCTCAGGTCTAGGGGATAGAACATGGGCTGGGAGGCAAGACAGGTCCCTTAGGGAACCTGGAACCATTTAGCCTCAGCGCACCTCACCTCAGCTTTCTTATCTGTAGAATGGGATCAATGATATTTACCCTACCATGAGGTGGTGGGGATGAAATGATATGATTTCTCGGCACATGTGACCTATTCAGTATGAATCCTTCTCTCTCTGCTTGCTATGAAGTGGCGTTTGTGACGGCTGCTCTATCTGCTTCAAAAAGTGGTTATTATTTTACAGTAGATATGAAAGCACTCTGAAAAGTTAAAGATGCTCTGTTGTGGTAAGACTCTCCTACAAATATTATTCTTGAGATGAGAAATCTGGAGCTGCCAGCCAGGTTAAATCAAAATACAGTAGCTCCATTTTGATTGACTTGTCATGGGATAGCCTGAGGAGCCATGGATTTGGGGGGATCCAGTGCTCCTTTGTGGTGAGTCATGCACATCCCCACTGGGCACTCTGGGAGGTGGCCTGCTCTCCCAGCAGGGCTGCAGCCCATGTGAGCTGTGGGGCCTTAGGCATTTCCTTGGCTTCTCTGAGCCTCAGTTTCCCCACTTGAAAAACAGCAATGCCAATAGAAGTGTGGTGAAGACGTAATGAGACATGGTGACATAGAAAGGTGGCTCTAAAAATGTGAGCTCTTATTTTCATCCCAATTCTGGAATGAACAGCTGAGAGGGTGTGAGGGACTTGCACAAGGGGTCTGAGCCGGAAAGACAGGAGAATGAAAAGAAGGCAATGGTAGATAGTAATTTCTAACCTGGCTCCTGAAATAGATCTGGCCCCCAGAGAGGGGAGCAGTTCTCCATTTCTGGGCAAAACCTAAGTGACCCAGAGCAATGACAAATGGCTACTTGCACACCCTACAAGTGGCTGACACCACTATCTTGAGGCAAAAAATCATTTCAAATCCATTCCCTTAGGGCGTGGAATGACAATGGAAGCCTCATGAGTTTATGCTTTCTCTAGTGGTCTGGGTCTGTTAGTTAACCCCATGAAACTGCTACTGAAGAACGGTGAACTGAGAAAGGAACCACAAGATCTTTCAACTTTCTAAAGAATGCCTTGGTGTAAGCCAAGGGGCCTTACTGCATCCAGAATGGTTCGAGAGTCCTTAATTTTAGTGCAATCCGCACAGCATTCTGTCTGACCTAGGTTAGAGGGCCTTCCTGCTCCCTCCTATCCTGTTGAACTTCAAGGGACACAGAAGTTTAGGGGATGCAGCCCTTGGGCCACCTGGTCCTCTCTTCAGAATCCTGGGACACCCTCAGCCTGTCTCTGCCAAACATACCCCTAGAGTCTAAGCCCCAGCTTGGCTTCCAGACAGGCACACACAGCCCAGACAGGACAGCTGCTGCCCTTCCTGCAAGGGTGAGAGGTGATAGTGGAGATGAAATGATCTATTTTCTCTATTATTAAAATTAAGCTTTTGTATGGTACTATAAGGTGGATAAATGCCATTATACATTTGTCCAAACTCACAGAACGTACAACACCAAGTAAGAGTGAGCCTTAATATAAACTATGGACTCTGGGTGATAATGATGTGTCAGTGCAGGGTCATTGGTTGTAACAAATGGACCGCTCTGGTGGGGGATGTTGACAGTGTGGGAGGCTGTGTCTGTGTGGGGACAGGAGGTATATGGGAACTCTCTGTACTTTCTGCTCAATTTGCTCTGAACCTAAAACTACTCTAAAGTCTATTAAAAAATTCAGTTCACAGTTGCAAAGACATGGAATCAACTTAAGTGCCCATCAACTGATGAGTGGATAAAGAAAATGCGGTTATATATACACCATGGAATACTACTCAGCCATAAAAAAGAACAAGATAATATTTTTTGCATCAACTTGGACGGAACTGGAGGCCATTATTCTAAGTAAAGTAGCTCAGGAATGGAAAACCAAATACCGCATGTTCTCACTTACAAGTGGAAGCTAAGCTATGAGTGCGCAAAGGCAGCTAGAGTGGTGTAATGGACACTGGAGACTCAGAAGGAAGGGAGGATGAGGGATGAAAAACTACCCACAGGGTACAATGTACACGACTTGGGTGAGGGGTACACTAAAATCCCAGACTTCACCACCACAAATTTCATCCATGTAACCTAAAAGCACTTGTACCCCTAAAGCTATTGAAATAAAAAAATCAAAATTAAAAAGAAAAAAGAATGAGCCAGGTGTGGTGGCTCATGCCTGTAATCCCAGTACATAGGGAGGCAGAGGTGGGAGGATGGCTTGAGCCCAGGAATTTGAGATCAGCTGGGGCAACATAGCAAGATCCCATTCTCCACAAAAAGGGAGAAAAAATAATGTAAAGAGGTTCTAAGACCAAACGTTTTGAGATCCACTATTTTATGAATATATTTTCTAATGTATAACTTGTTCATGTTGAATTCTTTTGAATTCAACTGTATTCAACTGAAAGGGGAGACCTTCTCTCTCTACAAAAAATTTGATTTTTGCCTTTCTTCTCTCTCTAGCAAATGAGCAGGACACACAGAGCCCTTCATAATAGCGACTGAATTATAAGAGAGAGGATAAAACCAGATGATGACAGAATGAAACAGACATGTTAAATAAACTCCTTTGCTGACATGGAATAATATCTACTCATAAGCAAATTTAAGTGCTTTCCTTTAATCTATGCTACAAAGTCAACTCTGAGATTTAAACAAGCCGTAACTATATTCAATGCTATATATACGCTATATATACTATATACTAATGCTACTCAGGCAAGTAGCCTGTTTTTGCAAATAAAGTTTTATTTTACACACACACACACACACACACACACACACACACACACACACACACAAATTGAAGCTAGAGGTAAGCTGACCATGAAATCAACTGAGCAGCCCTTTCACCAAAGCAGTCCCAACTATAGCATGTTGGTACTACAGTCATTTATGGTAGAGTTTGGTCAACAGCTCAAACACTTGTCTGTTTACAGACAATATCTTATTTTTCCAAAACACAGGAAATAATGTCTCTGTGCCAACCCCCCCCCCCACCCAAATCACAGTATCATTTTGCAAAATGTCAGAAAAATATCTTTCTCAGTCTCAGTAATGGCTAAACACAACTCTCCTTGAGAAAAGTCCCAGCAATGTTTACAGAGTGCCATGGTAAATTGCTCTGATGTCTCATTCACATGGGAGGACTTGTTCTTCATTCCTGCTAGCTGTGATGGGCCAGCAGGAGGTAGGTGACCCTGCATACTGTTAGACAAGAAGGTAAAAACAACAAACCAACAGCTTTGATGTCTGTATTTTAAGTATCACTGTCTGTGCAAGCCACGTGGCCGCCCTTCCAATGACTGTGCCTGGAGTGACTGCAAGGTGGTGGATGGTACTTGCTCAGCTGCTACTCACAAGCCTGGGGTATGTGGAAGGAGAAAACAGGAGAGGAGAGAGGAAGAGAGGGAGAGGAAAAAGAAAGAGGGAGGGAGCGGGGAGAGAGAGGGGAAAGAAGTTGAGGAGAGAGGGGAAAGAAGGAGGGAGGGGGGAGAGAGAAAGACGGAGAGAGATAGGGAGAGAGAAAGAGAGGGAAAGAGAAAGAGGGAGAGAGAATGGGAGGGAGTAAGGGAGGGAGATGGGAAAGAGAAAGAGAAAAGGAGACAGAAAAAGATAAAGAAATAGATAGAAATAGAAAAGGAGAAAGAGAAAAGCAAGGGAGGCAGGGTAGGGGGAAGAGCGAAAGCAGAGAAAGAGAAAAAGAGAAGGAGAGAGAGGTAGAGGAGAGAGAGAGAAAGAGAGAGAGGGAGAGAGACAGAGCTATTTCTACAATCCATATTTCTTCTTTTTCTTCTACAGTCTCTGCTACATTCTAATTTGCTTTTTTTTTGCATTAGGAAGGAGATATTTTTTTCTTCTATTTTATTTTGAGAAGAAATATTCCTTTTATTCCTGAAATTGGGATAAGAAATCTGACAGTTACTGAATAAGTTCTTTCACTCCTCGGCACTGAGCAAAGAGAAGTGAAATGTTTCTCAGAGAGAGGTGCAGCAAAAGGGGAAACCCCGTAGGAGGAGGGCATGGCAGATCTGGAAGAGAATCAAAGTCAGGTTCACAGGGTAGCTCTGGAGAGAGAGAAAGAGCTTTGCCAAACTTAGTCTATGAGTTTAAAAATAAGGCTGTTTGATGGGCACTGAAACATCCATCTGTTGGGTGCATGTTCTTCTCTACAGAAAGCATTTGCTCTTGGAAGTCTATCAAGAGGGAAGTGTTTCATATCAAATGGACAGGCATAGCAGCCCCAGTCTGCAGTTCCCTCAGGCATGGCAAGCTGGGCCCTCTCACTCACCATTTGTTTTCCTTGCCCTTCTCCCTCCATCACTGAACACACTGGGCTGGAGTCACCTGTTTACACTCTCACTCACTCACTCACTCACTCTGTCTCAGCAACCCAGATCTTGCTCTACAGGACGTCTGTCTTTGTCTCCGCCTTCCTCTGTCCCATTCTGTGTGTAACTCTTTCCCTGTGCCACCTATCACATGACTTCCCTCCTCTTTCTCCCTAACACTCAGAATCCAGCAAACAAGAGGTGCACTGCATCACCGAGGCATGTGGGTACTTACGAGAGAAGGAAGGTACTAACATCAACATCTAAGGTGTATTGTATGATGTACCTTGCGGAAATACCAAATACTGCAAGAAAAAACCAAAACTGATGAAAGTTCAAAATTTTGTGATGTCTTAGAAATGGGGTAGTCCTTCTGGGTATAGGCACTGAGCAACCTTCAAGGGAGAGGGAGAAATTCCCCAAAGAGCAAAACGGTCTGTGCAAGGAGCTGTGGGAGCTGTGATGGAGAGTGGAGTCTTTACAGACATGGGCAGAGTGGGACCTAGGTCATGATTCTTCTTTACCATCAACATTCTTAGAGCATCTACTTTTGGCAGAGTGTTACTACCCAGGGGAAGCTGCATGCTGGGTACCCTCTCTATGAATTAGGAAGAATTTGGCAATGACTAAGCTATCTTCACACCTTGAATTCCTGAGAGAAATATGCACAGGGAACCCCAGGCAAACAGACAGGGTTCATTACTGTCTGGCTTAGGCCCTTTATCATCTGCCATCCTGCCAGCAAGCTGGACTGAGTCTTAATCATCCCTTTGACTTTTTTGCTCTGATATCCTTGGTTCCTTTTTCTAAGGCCTTGAGGTATTAAGGCTTCAATGGCTACATAGGTCAAGTAAAGAGAAATCTGCTCACTCTAAGCTCTGCTGGGCTTTGGTATGTGAGGGGCTGGGCTGGGGAGAGCAGAGGTGAGCTAGGTGAGGGAGGGGTGAGGGGGGCAAGGAGAAAGTGGTCTGGACCCAGTCCTGCCCTGTCACACCAGCTATACAGGAGAGACAGCCTTCCTTAGAAGGGGAAAGGAACTGAAGCAGGTGTTGCCCAGGTTCCACTTATAATCCCTCTCCACCTTCTGTTAAAGATTGCTTTTTTTTTTTTTTTTTTTTTTTTTTTTTGCACAGAGGCTTAGTTGAATGTTCCTGGAATCCATGAAATCCTCCTCTTCACTTGAGGATATGGGGATGAGAGTGGGGCAGGGAAGAGAAGCCACTCTGAGCTTCTCCAAGAGGGAGGACACAGCATCGTAGCCACAGACTTCCCACACTCCATGGGACACCCTGCTACTGACCAGTGGCAAGTCCTCTCTATGTTGGATTTCACCATGAATCTACACCACAGGCTGGGCTGGCACCGAGGAGCACATCTCAGGAGGGTCAAGAACTTATGGGTTTTCTCCCAGCAATGGCGAGCCCTGCTGCAGGGTAAATCAGTAAAGAGGTAGGGGTGAGCCCTAGACAGCACAGGTCGATTAGACCTGGGTGGCAGCAAGGGTGGCCCAAGGGACCTGTGCTTAGATACGAACTGGGGCAGGGGGTTAGGCTGCAGTATCTCTTTGAGGCCATAAATGGGTGGGAGAGGGGAGGAAAGTACACATCAAATCTTGCATTCAGCGGGAGATCCAGAAAGGGTGCCCAGGGGGTTGGGCCCTGAAGTTTATGCACAAGCCAAAGTATTTTGATATATATTTTTTTGAGATGGGGTCTCACTCTGTCACCCAAGCTGTAGTGCAGTGGCACGATCACAGCTCGCTGCAGCTTCAACCTCCCAGGCTCAAGTGATCCTCCCACCTCAGCCTCCTTAGTAGCTAAGACAACAGGTGCATGCCACCACACCTCGCTAAGTTTTATATACGTATTTTTTGTTTTACATTTTCCAGCTGCTAGCAACTGGAAAATTTTTGTATTTTTTGTAGAGATGGGGTTTCTCCAGCCTGGTCTCAAACTCCTGGGCTCAAGTGATCTGCCTGCCTTGGCCTCACAAAGAGCTGGGATTACAGGCATGAGTCACTGTGCCTGGCCTCAAGGAGTTTTGATGGATAGTCACTAGAAGAGCCCAGGAAGAGGCATAATTTGCCAAAAAGATGGGAAGCAGCATAGTGTAGCTCTAAGTGCAGTGTAGCATCAACCTCTGCAGAAAGACAGATTTGGATTAAAATCCTCGCCCCAGAATCTACTACCAATTTGATCTCGAGCAAGGTACTTCACATTTCTATGCTTCTTTCCTCCATCTGTAAAGTTGGGATCATAATACTGCCTACCTCGGAAGGCCATTGTGAGATAAGTGAGACAACAAGTGAAAACACTTAGCCTAGTGGCTGGCACAGAGTAAATCACAAAAAGTAACTGAACCAAGGCTGGTAATTCTTCCTGTTGAGTGCAGAATGACAGTATGAGTGGAAGGTGAGTGCTGAGAGCAGGGTGACACTACAAAGCAGCTGCAGTGTCTGGAGCCTGGGCCATCGTCACTGAGGGTCACAGAAATGGAGAGAAGCAGGAAAGCCTGGATCCAAGAGAGATGGAGGAAGAGCCTGACCCTATTAATTTAGCATTTTATGGATGACATACATGGCATTGTTGACAAAGACAGATGTTGATCCACACAAAGAGAAAAGATACCCAATTTTATAAGTGATAACTGTGCTTCAGCTTTGATGTGTGTCCAATATGCATGACATGTACACTTGGGTTAAAGTTGCCTCACAGAGCAGAGAACAGCTGCAGCGAAAGCCATAGGGTCTCATGAAGATGGGACTAGGACTGTTGGCTAGTCAATCATTTGGGTTAACAAGGGGCTCAGTGCTTCCTGATGCTCTTGGTTAGCTGGGACCAAGAGCCTCAAGAAGACTTGGGGACCACTGTAAGTAGAGTGACCATATGTCCTGGGTTGCCCTGGACAGTCCTGGCCTGTGCTTATTGTCCTGGCGTAATAGGAATAGTGTCTTTCTGACACTTCTTGTACCCTGGCTTGGGTGATCCATATTTAACCCAACTCAAAGGGGAAGTCCACAAGTGAAGTCTCTAGGTTCTCCCTGGACAGAGGTGGAGCCATTAGCTTCACCTTTGGAGTTGAGGCCTTGAGTTCCAGAGCCACTGTTGCTCCTATAGCAAAAGACTGGAACAGCCTTGTCTCCAACAACGCTGTTGTGCTGCCTGGGTCTTCTCTAACTTTCTTGCAAGTACAGCCCTGAGTCCTTCATGGCTCCTGGGTTGATGCTGGCCTGAAACTTCAACATTAACGGCAGTGGAAGAAGAGCAGGGGTGCTATTTTTAAAATTGTTATGTGTAGGCCTGCTATATATTTCTGTCCTCAAAGATAATCATGTATGCTTAGTGAGGATATTGAGTTTTCATGGCAATTGCCATTAGCCTATATGGTGTGAGGCTGGGCCCTTGATGGAGAAATATAGGACTTTATCCTTGAATCCAAATCCTATCAACAGATATTAATGATCCTAGTAAATGAAGGAGGCAGGTTTGAGTGCATGAAAAATGTCCTCTGTGTCTCTTTAACTTCTCTATGCCCCATTGTCCTCAAGTAGGTCTTTGGCACCAGTGATTCCTGCAACATATACAGGTCTAAAATCTTACGAGAAATTAGTCCAGACACAAAGGGCCTGATAAAGGTATACTTTTCAGGTCATTTCTGCCATGATTGTGTAGTGATTATTTTTAGCATCCCCACCTAGACCATGAGGGTAAATACACAACTGAATGAGTGAGGGAATGAAGGCATGGATGAATCCCTTGCCTACAAATTACACTCTAGAAGGAAAATTCCAGATGTGAAACAAAATTTTGATTATGAGATTACAAAGAGGGTGACCAAAGGGGGTGAGACATTGATGGCTCCAGTTTGTAAAGCCTATCTGAGAATTCCCAAGGCAATGTTACTTCAGTACTTTTTTATTGGCAAAAGTTTCTTCTCCATATAGGTTCTTTTTTTTTTGAGACGGAGTGCAGTGGTGTGATCTCGGCTCACTGCAACCTCTGCCTCCCGGGTTCAAGTGATTCTCCCGCCTCAGCCTCCTGAGGAGCTGGGATTATAGGCACCTGCCACCACGCCCAGCTGATTTTTATATTTTTGGTAGAGACGGCGTTTCACCATGTTGGCCAGGCTGGTCTCAAACTCCTGACCTCAGGTGATCCACCCACCTCAGTCTCCCAAAGTGCTGGATACAGGCGTGAACCACCGTGCCCAGCCTATGTAGGTTCTTAAGTGTCTGAAGTGCCAGTAGGTCTTCTTACTGCTTGTTTTCCTTGGCAAGGGTTAGTTTCTTAGAAATACTGAGAATGGCATGCGTGGGTTTAGGTCTCAGTTAGTAAATGTTCATCTTAAACATGTTGCACATCTTCCACAAACTTCACATTCGTGTGTGTGAAGAGTCTTGCACTGAGAAAATTCTATAACATCTATAATGCTCTGGGTATTAGAGATCCCATGCAGTCCTGGTATGAAGCAAAAGTGGGTTCCATTAAAAAAATAGTGAAACATTGTTCCAAAGTTCAACAGATCAACAAAAAACTCTAAATATCTTTATTATTTATTTCATAAAAGTATGGTCTACTATGGGGAAAAATCTCCTTTGTTCATTAGTTTTCTTATCTATAAAGCACAAAAAAGGGAGGGTTCTTTTCTAATATCTTATAAAGCAGTGATTACATATATTTCTTAGTTCACTGTTCTCAGATCTTTTGTCCACCACAGGTAATGTACTTGACAAAATACAAAGAGAATGAATTATTTGGCAAAATACAGGGAACGTCTTAAATATGCACATGCTTTTTGACAACCAATTCCATGTCTAGGAGTTGATACTAGGGAAATCATGAAGGTATGCAAATATTAAACCAGAAGAATGTTTATAACAAAGCTTCCTTATGATCATGAAAAACTAGAAACTAAATACCCAATGATAGGAGATTATAGTAGATTATAGTATGTCCACACCAACAAATACTAGACAGTGATGAAAAATGATATAGAAATGTCTATGATGTAAAAATATGTGGCAGAAAGTATTCAATATGTATTTATTTTTCAGTGAAGAAATAATAAAGTATTATAGAAAATAACTCAATTTTTAATGTAAGCAAAACTATAAGTATTGAAAGGATAGACAACTATCCCATTGTTGGGGTAAAGTTATAGATAACTTTGCTTATTCATATCTTCTGAAGTTTTTTACAATAGATATGTATTAGTTTTGCAACAAGGAAAGCAATTAAAACTATTTTTAGGTAATTCTGTTAGTAGAAATAATTATGCAGATTAGTTAGAAGCAATAAGATGGCTTGCAGGACTAACACGATTTAACGGAATGGAGAAAATGAAGTTATTCCCTCACCCACATTAGGTCCAAATGCAAGAAACAAGAATCTTGTTTGAAATCTGAACCATCACTTCTCAACCCCAGAAACAAAGGAGAGGCTAAAGTTAAAGTCATGATTTAGTGAAGATGAGTCCCGGAAGTAGATGACTGGCTGAATCGACTCATAAATGGCTGTGAAACAAGCTAAGAGTCAATACACCTGCAAGGTTTCAGAGGCCATTTTATTGGGAAGTATGGAAAATCACAAAATATTGACGTATGTACCAAAAGAAAAAAAAGTCAAACAACATGCCTCCTGAAATACTTTCCTGTTTTTCCTCCTTTCAACAGAGTTATTTCTGGTGAAGAAATGTCATGATCAGGTCTGAATGCAGAACAATATAAAATTAAGAATTAAGTGCTTCATCAAGTTTCTGCACGTGAGCCACCAGCAGCTTTGCATGTACTGTAAGTGCCAGCCAATGAGGTTAATGATTCAAAAACCCAGAGTACAAGGAGAATACAATGTGCAAAGGAAATGGGCCCCGCCACCTTGCTCAAGTGCCGTGTGAAGACATGGATGCTGAAAACAAAATCTTTCCCGAGAGAAAACAACCATGCTTGCACTGTGTTTTCAGAATTGCGTCCTCATGTAAATTAACTCAATAAAATTGGGTCCTTTCCTTCTTTTTTTTAATTATTAATATGGAAATATGTTAAATATACACCAAAGTAGAAGATGATGTCAGAGAGGTAATCGCCAGGCCACTAGTGCCCAGTGGCTATTGCACGAGGTAGGAGTCCACGGACGGTTCTGAGCAGCGCAGCAGCGTGATCTGGCTTATGTTTAAAAGGGTCACTCCGACTGCTGCGTGGAAAGTCGACTGCAGGAGATGAGAATATAAAAAAGAAAAACGAGCTAAGAGGTCATTGCAATAATCTAAGGATGAGATGATGATGGCTTGGATTACGTGGTAGCAGGGAGGAGGTAAAACATACAGATTTTTCCCCTATTGTTAAGAGTATCATTCTGAACATCTTAAAAATTACAGTTTTATTGAGATATAAGATACATACTATACAATTCATCCACTTAAAGTGCACACTTCAACGGTTTTTGGCATAATTATGGAGTTGTACCATCACCACCGTAATAAATTTTATAACATTTTTATCATCTCCTCCCAAAATCTCTGTACCCGTTAGCATTCACTCTCTATTTCCCACCCTCCTCAACCCTAGGCAACTACTAATCTACTTGCTGTCTCTCTGCGCTTACCTAATCTGGACACCTCATTTAAATGGTGTTATACAACATGTGCCCTTTTGTGACAGACTTCTTTCACTTATCATCATATTTTCAAGGTTCATTCATGTTGTATCATGTATCGGTACTTCATTTCTTTTTATTACTTAATAAAAAGTATGGATATATCACATTTTGTTTATTTATTCATCAGTTAATGGAGATCTGGGGTATTTCTACTTTTTGGCTATGATGAATAATGCTGCTCTGAACACTCCTATACAAGATTGTTTTGTGGGTATATGTTTTCATTTCTCTTGAATATACACCTAAGGCCCTTAGAGTTCTCTAAGTTAAACTTTTTTCTAAGTAACTGTAGCTTTTTGAGGAACTGCTCAACTGTTTCCCAAAGTGTCTTTACCGTTTTCCGTTTCCATCAGCAATGCATGACAGTTACGACTCCTCATCCTCACCAACATTATCTGTCTTTTAATCCTGAACGTTTTTGTGCACCATATCGCATACTCGATGATCGCTTTTGGGTACATTTCTCGAAGTGGTACTGCGGGGTTACAGTGTGTGCACTTTACAAAGGCTTCAGCCGTATCGCGGAATTATCTTCCAGAGAGGTCGTACCAATTTGTAATTGCGCCAATAATGTATGATTTTCAACTTTACCACATTCTCCCAGACTCCGAGTATTACTGTTCTTTTTAATCTTTTCCAATCCAATGTGGAAAAAATTATCACCTTTGTTCTATTTCTTGACATTGTTAATTTTTTTTATCCATGACATTGTTAACTTGAAATATGTTTAATGTGTTCATTGGTGGTTCTTTGTCTTATTTTTGAAACCTTTTCATATATTAAAAGTATAAACTTTTGATTTGTATATGTTATAGATAATTTTTCCAATTTGTTGTTTACCTTTTAATTTTCTTTTTGGTATTCCTCACCAAATAGAAGTTCAAGTTTTTAGACAGATATATTTATCAGTATATTTTTAATGGCTTCAACATTTGGTATCATGTTTAGAAAAGTCTTACTGACCAAAAGAATATATAAATATGGAACATATTTTCTTATAGTAATTGAATATTATTTTTTACATTTAAAAATTACTCCACCCTATTGGTTTTTGTTTTTGGGGTTTTTTTTTTGGTATATTGTGTGAAGTAGAGTTCTAACTCTCCTATCTTTGAATAATCCATCCTTTCCCCAATAATTTTTCAGGCAATTGTTAGCATTCATTTAATTCTTATATGTCATTAGATCCCTTACTTTCTATTCCTTTCCATTAAACTGTGTATATTTAGGTAGTAACATTATTTTAACAATATTTTAATTGTTCTGGTTTAATATAGGTATTCTAAAATCTTTTAAGGCACGCCTGTAGTCCCAGCTACTTGGGAAACTGAGGCAGGAGAATCGCTTCAACCCGGGAGTCAGAAGTTGCAGTGAGCCAAGATTGTGCCACTGTACTGCAGCCTGGGCAAAACAGTAAGACTTTGTCTCTCAAAAATAATAATAATAATAATAATAATAATCAGGTGAATAGCAGTTTTCACTTAGAAGGACATGGAAGTTTATCAACATCCTTTAAAAGAAGGGGCTAAGAAACCAGTCCCAGTAGAAACCTTTATTAGACAATCTGTCCCAAAGTAATATTTCTCTCTCAAATAAAATTGTCTTAAAACAATGAAACAAAGCAGATAAATCAATTCTCCCCCTATGTAATCAGCCCTCTGTATCCACGAGTTTGCATACACAGATTCAACCAACTACGGATTGAAAATATTTGAACAAAAAAGAAAAATAACAATAAATAATAATAGAAGTAAAAAATACAGCATAACAACTATTAACATAGCATTTACATTGTGTTAGGTATTATAAGTAATTTAGAGATGGTTTCAGGTATATGGAGGATGTGCATAGGTTATATACAAATAACACATCATTTTGCCTAAGAGACTTGAGCATCCTGGAATTTTGGTATCTCTGGGAGTCCTGGAGTCAAATCGCCCCCGGATATAGATGGATGATTTACATACTTGCTTATCTCTCCCCCTGGTGGATTTCTTTTGTCATTACATCAGGCAGGAGCCTCTAAATTCTGGATCAAGGAGGGCTCTTGGGTAGGCCTGAAGGAGGCTGGAGTAAAACCTTTAGAAATACTAACTACTAAAAAGATTATGGTGGCATCCCATGCCTACATTATTAACATTTGCTGATCAAAAGTAAATGTAAGGAATTCTGACACGTATTTGATTTTTAAAATTTTAGTTATGATAACTATTTAAACTATTGGGGGAAGGAGAATGCCAGACATCAAATTTGTGCTCCCCTGCCTGACCCCTGTGGCCTCTGATAACTTCCCGGCTCCCTGGTATTATAAGAGATCCCAGGCTCATCTTACACATTTCCGGCTTAGACTTGGAAGCAACTGTTTCTCCAAGAAGGGTTGGTTTCTATTAGTGGGTGAGGAATGCTCACTGCTACTGGATTGGCAGTTGAACTAAGAAATATTTGTATGCCAATAGATAGATGGACACATACATAAAATATTTTATGAGTTCATATTGAGATTTCCAATTCAATTCCAAGACATTAGGGTGTGTGCTTAACTTCCCCCATTACATCTGAGCTCCTTTCCTGTGCCCTGTGAATGTGAGTTTTCTTTTCTTTTTTTGAGACAGGGTCTCACTCTATCGCTCCGGCTGGAGTGCTGTGGCGTAATCACAGCTCACTGCAGCTTCTACTTCCTGAGCTCATTTGTCACTTTCTGCTTTACTTCTCCCACCTCAGCCTCCTAAGTAGCTGGGACTACAGGCATATACCACCCCACCCAGCTAGTTTTTTGTTTTTTGTTTTTTTTTTTGAGACGGAGTCTCGCTCTGTTGCCCAGGCTGGAGTGCAGTGGTGTGATCTCGGCTCACTGCAAGCTCCGTCTCCTGGGTTCACGCCTTCTCCTGCCTCAGCCTCCCGAGTACCTGGGACTACAGGCGCCTGCCGCCATGCCCGGCTAATTTTTTGTATTTTTAGTAGAGACGGGGTTAGCCAGCATGGTCTCGATCTCCTGACCTCGTGATCCGCCCGCCTCAGCCTCCCAAAGTGCTGGGATTACAGGCGTGAGCCACTGCGTCCGGCCCCCACCCAGCTAGTTTTTGTATTTTTAGTGGAGATGGGGTTTTGCCATGTTGCCCATGGCTGGTATCAAACTCCTAGGCTCAAGTGATCTGCCCACCTCTGCCTCCCAAAATCCTGGGATTACAGGTGTGAGCCATTGTGCCCAGCCAGAATGTGAGTTTTCAAAGACACCAGGAAAACAACTAAAATACAGTATATCATAATTGCTCATTTGTTTTATGTTACTCAACAGCCTCTGAATAACACCCCTAATACTACCACCTACATGATAACTGAAAGCATTAACATATTTTGGTATGTGCTTTCCTTGTTCTTCCCCCATTTGTATTTTATTTTATTATTATTTGTAGAGATGAGAGTCTCGCTATGTTGCCCAGGCTGGTCTTGAACTCCTGGCCTCAAACAGTCCTCCCAACTTGGCCTCCCTAAGTGCTGGAATTATAGGCATGAGCCACCTGTTCCTCCATTTTTATCACTGGGCTGTATCTATATTGTGAGAGCACAGATACACTATACTGTCTGAGCCTGCCCCACTTACTGTAATGCTCCACACCAGTTCTTACTATTAGGGTCTCTCTAGTCATGTGATTGTCTGAAGCTTGGTTTCCAGAAGATTCTTTAGGAAGTGTTCATGAGAACAATATTCCTTGAGTTTTTGCATGTTGATAAGAGTGGATGTCCTTTAGACTTGATATAAAATCCTAGGATGACACTTCCTTTACTTGAGCAGGTTAAACAGACTCTTCTCAAAAGAAGACCAACAAACATGAAATTTTATGTTGCCAACATACATATGAAAAAAAGTTCATCATCACTGGTCATTAGAGAAATGCAAATCAAAGCCACAATGAGACACCATCTCACGCCAGTTAGAGTGGGGATCATTAAAAAGTCAGGAAGCAACAGATGCTGGAGAGGATGTGGATAAATAGAAACGCTTTTACATTGTTGGTGGGAGTATAAATTAGTTCAACTATTGTGGAAGACAGTGTGGCGATTTTTCAAGGATCTAGAACCAGAAATACCATTTTACCCAGCAATCCCATTACTGGGTATATACCCAAAGGATTATAAATCATTCTACTATAAAGACACATGCACACGTATATTTATTGCAGCACTGTTCACAATAGCAAAGACTTGGAACCAACCCAAATGCCCATCAATGATAGAATGGATAAAGAAAATGTGGCATATATACACCACGGAATACTATGCAATCATAAAAAAGGATGAGTTCATGTCCTTTGCAGGGACATGGATGAAGCTGGAAACCATCATTCTCAGCAAGCTAACACAGGAACAGAAAACCAAACACTGCATGTTCTCACTCATAGGTGGGAGGTGAACAATGAGAACACATGGACACAGGGAGGGGAACACCGGGGCCTGTCAGTGGATGGGAGGCTAGGGGAGAGATAGCATTAGGAGAAATACCTAACGTAGATGACGGGTTAATGAGTGCAGCAAACCACCATGGCACGTGTATTCCTATGTAACAAACCTGCACGTTCTGCACATGTATCCCAGAATTTAAAGTATAATAATAATAATAATAATAATAACAATAATAATAATAATGTTACTCCATTTTCTTTTAGCACTGCTGTCAAAAAATTGATTATCTTTTTTCTTTCATTTAAAAAAATCATATACACTTTTTTTTCCTATGTGTCAAATAAATTTTTTTCTTTTCTCTAAACTCCCATAACTTTACAAGAAAATATCTGGGTCTTGGTCATTTGGGGGTTATTATTCTCAGATATTCTAAAAGTTAAAATGAAATGAAATGATAAAAAAAAAGGGAGAGAAGGTGACAAATATTGAAGGTGGGCAAAACGATCAACCATACGGCAAACAGAAATCCCTTAAGGTATAAAATGCTCTTTAAATATGCAATTTCAATTTTTCTTTATTTCTGGAAAGTTTTCTTGAATTATAGTTTTCAGTATTTGTTTTGTTCCATTGCTTTGGATTTTGTGGGGTTTTTAATCCTGTAAGGAACTACTATGAGCTGTATGTTTGATCTTTTTGCCCATCTTCAATATTTGTCAGTTTCTCTCACTTTGTAAAAATCATTTCATTTCTTTTAACTTTTAGAATCCTTTTTACCTTTTATTTCTCTTAAGGCACGACGCTACGTTTATATGCTCTTGAGTTTCTTCTAGTTTAATCTTAATTTTTGAAATGACTTTTTCTTTTATTTTGAACTCTTTCCTCATTTCTGAGTTTTGCTAATTCTGGTTTATGGTTTTTTTTTTCACATCTTATATAATTTTCTACCATTTTGAAATGCCAGGTTTCAGTTTTGTTCAATTTGTGGGCACATTTTTCCGTCACACTTTCATTGTGTAGAGTTTTTATTCTGCCCCTTGGGTTCCTTTTTCTTATAATAACTTAGCCTGGGATTTTACTTTAATATTTTTCTCATGCTCATTTTCCTGTGAAATTGATTTTTCTAAACTTTTTGAATGAGATGGGGCTCAGGAAAGTCATGCTAGCTCCACTGAGCTTCCTCTTCTGTTTTTTTTTTTCTGATAGTTTATGTAAATGGCAGCTTGCTTTCTGGGATTTCCTGGCTCTATCTCCCTCCCTGGCTTTGGTCTGGAATTTATTTTTTCTTCCTTTCTGTTTGTCCCCATCCTGCTCAATTCTGACCTCATCCCAGCAGCCCCTCCTCAGTGTGGGCCCCATCCCAGGAGGGAGCTCTGCTGGGCCAGTTTCTAGTGTCCATAGGGCTCGAAGGCTCTGGATCCTTCAGTCCTTCTTGCCCTGAGCCTCTTACACTGACCTGGTATTGGAGTCAGCAGAACCCCATCCAGTTTTAGCGTGCTTCTTAAAGTACTCTGTTCTTTCCTGGGAATTCCTGATGGCAATTTTGGGTCCTTTTGTTCTCAGTTCCCTCAGTCACTGCCAACACTGGGTCCATCATTGCTTCTTTCTTTCCCCCACAGACACCAGGCAGGCCCTGTGGCTTGCTGGTGGTCTGTATTCTGGGGTGCCGGGAATATATTTTCATCGGGTTTTGTTACAAATGTTCCTGGGCTTTTGTCTTTGCTATTTAGTTGCTTTATTTTAATGTAGGAATATAGACAGAATGGAAAAACGACACTGCCTCTGCTACCATCGTCCCAGAATCCTCTCCATACCTGTCTGACCTTTCGGCAGCCAGAGGTAGACTGTAGCATAGCAGACATGGGATCTATTTTGATGAGCTTATCCAATGAGATAAGATATGAGAGGTAAGATAAGGGATGAAAAGTAAAGGGAACAAACATTTTTTAAAAATGTTAGCATTACATGGAGATTACTTAAATATACTTAGCACAGAATTAGAAAAGGTACAGACACACAGACCTGACAAAAATGTATAAGATGATGGTGTAGCATCGGCTGGAAATAAAAAGGCCCAGAGAAAGACACAGTCACCAGGCCTTCCTACTCCGAGGTCTTCAAACCAACAACACTCTTCCTCACAATTTGGGTCACCAAATTAGTCTTCTCCTTAAGAAGCTCAAGGAAATTGGTTGCTTTATTTACAGTGAGTTTACATTCATACATATTCTGCCTCAGCAAGTGTAGAGAATTACCGCTTCCATTTGAGCACAATTTAAATGCGGACAATTAGCTGAACCTTTAGAGGATAAATCTAGTTTCCTAGAAGTTTTCATTTTGAGTAGTAGGATTGGATGAGCAAAAATTCTCAGAAGGCAGCTTTGCTTGCTGGTTGGAGCCAAAGTCTATGGGATAAGGATGTGTGGGAATCACTGGTGATTTGCACCTTTCTATGGCAAGGGATCAACATGAGGAACCTCTCTGGAGAAAGCACAAAATGCATCCTGTAGCACATTAATCACCAGCCCTGCTGGAAGGATCTGGTTTCCAGGTACCGTTGGGTTGGCCTGAGATTGGACTGTTCTGGGCAGTTAAATACATTTTGAATGGCAAAGCATTTTCTTATTTACATTTTTGGCATGTTTCTCTCTATTGAACTGACTTCCAATAGAAAAATTAAAAGTAATATGTAGTCACAAGAAAAGCATGCTCCTGATTCCACAGGATTTGGCCAATGATCTGAGACAGCTTATATTCTTTTGAAAATATCAAACATGAAACATAGCTCTCAGGGCGTTTTTTAAGGGCAGGAAGAAAAGAGCATATGAAACAGATGTCCAGGAATTCATAGGATTAGGGATGCCTCTCTTTGGTTCATGGAGGAAGCCATCAGGGATGAACTGATGGATAGGAGTACAGCTGTTAGGGTATTCTAGGGACCACAGGACTGCGTTGAAGTCATTCATGTAAATGTCATAGTTACAGTATCACAGCCACTTGGAATATCCCCAAACAGTCAGCAGGCACATCACCATGCTCTAAAACCATTACTAACTCTTTAGTGACTCACAATAACTAAAAATGTGGGCGCTGTGAGAAAGATTACGCATCCAGATTGGACTTTGGGAAGAAAGAAATTTAGAAGCTCAGGACTGGGAAGTCACTTTGTCTAATTTCCTACCTCATGTTGAAATCCTGTTCACAATGTCCCCCATGGGTATTTTATGTCCCCAAGGGGCCCTGTAATGTTCCATCTTCACTCAAACAGCAGAGAGGGAACCCTGTGTCAGGACTTGGTTCTCCCCTTTTCCATCCACACAGATTCCGTCATTGATTTCATTCATTTATGTGCCAATGACTCCTACATGTGTGTTCCCACCTGCACTCTCCTGTGTGCTCCAGTAGAGCCAACCACTGATTTGACATCTTCACTTGGATGACTAAGTCTTAAACTTCACATATACTAAATAGAACCATTAATCTCTGCTCCCATTCCATCCCCTGCCCCCACCTCATGCCCCTACATGTTTTCCCATCACAGGAAATGGCACCAGTCTCCATCCAGTTGCTCAAGCTAAAAACCTAGGAGTCAATTTCTTTTTTTTCCTCTTCCCTCATATCCAGTTCATCAGTACATTCTGTCATATCTATCTCCAAGCAATATCTTTAATCCATTCACTTCTCCCCATCTCCATTGCCACCATCTTAGTTCAAATCACCTGCTTAGATAATTTATAACTGGTCTCCCTGCTTTCGTTTTTGTCAAACCACCATCTATACTTTGTAAAGCAGCCAGAGTGATCTTAAAATGTAAATCGAGTGATGTCTCTTTTCTAAATAAATCATCAGTGTTTCATGATACACTGTTGTAAAAATTCCCTCCCATCCTACAGAGCCCAGCATGACGTGGCTCTCCCTGCCTCTCTAGATGTGATATGCCATTCTCCTCCTGTCCTTTTGAGGTATAGATTTTCTGTCTCTAGTTTAACATCAAGAGGAAACTGTTGAACAGGGTTTCATAATGACAGCTTCAGAGTTCAAGCTAGTGAGCTAGCATAGACTGTTGCTCTTTCCCTGCAAAACAGCTCTGGAAGAATAAAGGTAAAGAAGTGAAAAAATGAAAATGAAAACAAAGCAGTGAGAAATGGCTGAAAAGTCTGAAGTCCATCTTGAGTGCGTGTGGATAAGCATCAAGAAGACAGCTGTAGACAAAGTGAAGGAGGTCAGAGGAAAGCTCTCCCTGCTCTTGCCTTTTCGCTTCATGTCTTAGGCAGATATCTTCCACCTGGAGGTCTGCAGGAAGAGCCCAGCCCCAGGTGTGTACAGGAAGGGATAACTTGGCAGTGCCAAACCTTGCCGGGGTGAATCTTTGAAGACCAGTGAGTGCTGATCAGCCCCTCCTTGGACAATCACTCTCTCTTTCTCTCCCCTTCTTGCCGTTATAATCAGTGAGTTACAGTTCAGGGAACCTGACTCCTCCCACTGTGGCCCTCCCTAAGGCAGCATTTCTCAAAATGTGGTCCCAAGACCAACAGCATCTGCATCACCGGTGGACTTGTTAGAGATGCCAATCACCAGGTCCATCCTGAACAAGCCACTCAAGAGACTCTGGGGGTGGAACCCAGCACTCTGTACTGTAATAAGCTCTCCGGTCATTCAGATTCACAATGAAGCTTGAAAACCACGCCTCTAAGGGTCTGAAAGTAAAAACCTGAGCAGGAGAGTGGTAGGGACCAAAAGTGGGTCTTCTGATGCACAGGCTCCTGGCTGCCCTCAGAGTTTATTCCTCAACCTGATCCTGAAATTCTCCGGTACTAAGCTGACTTTTGGCCCTTTATCCAAAAAATTACCAGAGTAACCGATTCTCCCAAAGAAACATGAGCTTACAGGTCAAAATAACTTCATAACTGAGGAGTACACATGCTATAAATGAAAGACAAAAAACAGAACCATCCAAAGCAGAGATATTACAACAGAAGCACAAAAAGATTTAAAATAAGTATAACTCTACTTAAAAAGATAAATATGAAGCAATAATATGAAACATAAAGAATTATGTACAAATATTACATATGATACAATAACAGGTGAAACAAAAAACACAGTAAATTGGATAAACAGCAAGTTGGATGCAGAAAATATAAAAGAAAGCTAAGAGATGTGAGGGAGAGAAGAATTACCAATATTTTACACTATGATTTCCAACAGGACAAAAAAAAAAAAAAAAGAAAATAGAAAGGGCAAACTATGTAATTTCCCAGAATTAAAGGGTGTCAAATAGGAGAGATAAGGTAAGTCCATCCTTTAATACAGTAAAACTTACCAACATTAAAGACAAAGTGAAAATTCTAAAGTCTCTTCAGAAAGAAAGCAGATTACTCACCAAGGAACTAGAATGAAATGATATCAGGAGTCACAGTAGCAGCACTGGGTGTAAAAAAAGACAGTGAAATAAGATTTTCCAATATCTTTGAACCTATAATTTTATACTCAGCTAAACTGTCATCTGAATCTGAAGCAAACCTCTCATCCACAAGATCTCAGTTTTTTCACACTAAGACACCAAAACACATAGAAAAAAGTCTTCATTAAAAAGAGCAGAAAAATCATATTGATACTGAAAGACATATGGAAAGAAAGATGAGGCCGGGCACGGTGGCTCATGCCTGTAATCCCAGCACTTTGGGAGGCCGAGGCGGGTGGATTACCTGAAGTCGGGAGCTGGAGACCAGCCTGACAAACATGGAGAAACCCCGTCTCTACTAAAAATACAAAATTAGCCAGGCGTGGTGGCACATGCCTGTAATCCCAGCTACTTGGGAGGCTGAGGCAGGAGAATCACTTGAACCCGGGAGGTGGAGGTTGCAGTGAGTGGGAGGTGGAGGTTGCAGTGAGCAGAGATCACACCATTGCATTCCAGCCTGGGCAACAAGAGCGAAACTCCGTCTCCAGAAAAAAAAAAAAAAAAAAAAAAAAGAGCAAATATCTTGGTAACTTTTATTTTAGATTAAAAAATGGCTAGGCTCAAAGAAAAGAAAGTGTATCCATAAAAATTAAAAACTAAAAATTAGGCAATAGTAATATCATGGAAATGAAGCTGGATAGGAGAGACTGAAGGGATGTCAGAACATGCTAAAATATTTGTCTTGTGAGGTGAGAGAGACAGATATTGATAAGTTTAAAGAATGAATGGAGATTCTAAGTTTAGTGATAGTTATATTATTCCATCAGAAGAACATGAAGAAAATTTATGCAGTGGAATTCAGGAGAGACAAAAAATACATTAAATGAAAAATAGAAAACAAAATTGCAGAAACCAGTTATAAAATTACAGTTGCCACCAGTAATTAAAATGATTAAATTTTAAACCTCTAGAAATTACCAGATTAAAAAGAAGAAAAAAAGATCCACCTACATGTTGTTTATAAAGAGGTTCAATTAAAACAAAAATGATGTAAAAAGGTTGAAAGTTAAAAGTTGAAAAAGATTCCGCATGCAAATACAGTTAGAAAGCTGGGGTATAATCTTAATAGGTGACAAGATACAATGATCATAAATACAAAGAAAGGACAGTATACATAATAAAGGAAAAAAGAGAAAGATGATATGATCGTCATAAACATATACACTTGTCCCATGGTATCCCTGGGGGATTGGTTCCAGGACCCACTGAGGATACCAAAATCACAGATGCTCTAGCCCCGGTATAAAATGGTGTAGTATTTGCATATAACCCATGCATATCTTCTGTATACTGTAAATAATCTCTAGATTACTTATAATACCTAATACAGTGTAAATGTTGTACTGTATTGTTTAGGGAATAATGACAAGAAAAAAAAGTCTATACAGGTTCAATATAGAGACAACCATCATTTTTTTCCCGAATATTTTTGATCCGTGGTTGTTGGAGTCCACGGCTCATGGATATGGAGTACTGACTGCATGTCTCTAACAACTCAGCCTCAGAAAATGAAGAGAAGCAATAGACTGAACCACAGGGAGAAAAAAGATTCCTAACTGAAGATGGATATTAAAATAGCTTTTTCAGAAACTGATCAAGCAGAAAAAAAGAAGCAGATATACTAAAGATCTGAAGACTGTGTTGGATGACTAGTTAAATTCAAAATACTCCAGAGCTTCCCCCAATAGCATGATCCAGTTAGGTCAAAACTCACTTCAATATGAGACTAGGATGACATCCAAAGTGGATTTTGTTCCTGAAAGTACTAGAAGAGTCTATTATAATGCAGTACCACTCACAGCGGGACAGTGCGGTAAAAACTTCAAAACTGGTATCACCCTGAGGTTCCAAGGAATTTCCTCAGGATACAGTGAAAACCCTCAGGGCTGCTGTGATGAAAGTTAGTCCTGAGCCTTGCGCTGTTTAATATTTCCTTTGTTAACCTGGAGGATACTACAATTGTTCAAAAAGAACACAGTGAATATCACACAGAAAGATCAGTGCTGCGGAGAAGATGATTATTATCAAGAGAATGACACAGCACTACACATGCTATTTCCTACAGCTGGCACACTCCTCTCCCTGCTCCCACACCACGTATTCCTTGTCCTCTTGGCTGACCATCTCTGTTCTCTGTGCAACTTCATCATACTGTCTATTGGACACCCCTCTATCCTTATACTTATCACCCCGCACAATATTTATTTGTTTTCACACGAGTCTCATCCATTAGACTCTAAGTCCATGAGAAAGGGGGCCCTGATTTATTCATCTCTGTATCCCCACAGTCTAGCAAAGTATCTTAGTAGATATTTATTAAGTGAATCAGAAACTCATGAAAGAAAAAAAATCTGTTTAACTGCTACAAGAATTACAAGATTTAAAATAGTTGCCTAGCAGGTGCTAATTTCGCTTCTAAATAAAAATATATGTCTGAACAACCCATAGACCATAAATACTCACCTAAAAACAAACAGCAAAGACACACATGGCTGGAGGATTCAATGATGAAAGCCATCAGTGAGAGGTAGAAATAATATGCTGCAAAGAATTACCAAATGGAACCACCATTCCATCATGAGAAGTCATGAAGGACCTTTTCTTCGAAGGAGTTGTGTGTTTATTAGTGGCTTTAGAGATGTTCCCTAACCCCCTTGCATTTACAACTGCATCCTGCACCTGCCCTTGGAAACTGAGGACACCCTGCAGTCAGCCCTGCACATCCCAAGAGCACCGACACTCAACAGGCAACTATGGAGCATCTCTGTGTTTCCTGTGCAGGGTGTTAGAACTGAGAAGCACTGGGAGAGGTATTTAGTACACAGGAAGCTTATAGCTTCATTCAAGAATGGGCATGTGCTTCACACTGCGTGGTGCCATCTCCCCTGCTACACCCCGTCTCACTTTTCAGAATCTCTTTCCCTGGAGTACCAGCATTCATCCTTCACTGCGCAGTGGCAGGCAGTGGGACACCTTCTTTCTTGTGCTCTCTTGGCTACCTTAGACTGAGCTGCTAAGCCATTCCTATATCCCTAGGGGCACTGCTCAAGTTACCCTGTGACCCCTGTAAACAAGAGATCCCTCCATCATATGACCCAGCCATCCCACTTCTGGGTATTTATCCTAAAGGAAATGAAGTCAGCAACTCATAGCAATGTCTGCAACCCCCATGTTCATTGCAACATCATTTACAATAGCCAAGATACGGAATAAACCTAAATGTTTATCAATACATGATGAATGGATAAGGAAATTGTGTCATAAATACATGACCTTTTCTTATGCCATCCATGTCAACATGGATAAACCTGGAGGACATTGTGCTAAGTGAAATAAGCCAGGCACAGAACAGCAAATACCAGATGTTGTCACTTATACATGGAATCAAAAAGAGTCAAATTTGGCTGGGCGTGGTGGCTCATGTCTGTAATCCCAGCAGTCCGAGGGATGGCCGAGGCAGGTGGATCACCTGAGGTCAGGAGTTCAGACCAGCCTGGCCAATTTGGTGAATCCCCGTCTCTACTAAAAATACAAAAAATTAGCCGGGCATGATGGTGTGCACCTATAATCCCAGCTACTTGGGAGGCTGAGGCAGGAGAATCGCTTGAACCTGGAAGGCGGAGATTGCAATGAGCCAAAATCACGCCACTGCACTCCAGCCTGGGCCACAAGAGTGAGCCTTTATCTCAAAAAAAAAAAAAAAAAGAAAAGAAAAGAAAAGAGTCAAACTCATAGAAGCAGAGAGAACAGTGGTTCCCAGAGGTAGAGTCAGGGAGAGTAGGGACAAAGGGTACAAAGAGTAGGGACGTAGCTTAAAGGGTACAGAGTTGCAGTTAGATAGGATGAAGAAATCTAGAGGTCTAAAGTACAGCATGAGGATGATAAGTTAATAATATTGTGCCTATACCGAACAGGTTCTAAGAAAGCAGATTTTAGGTGCTCTGACCATAAGAAAAGGTAACTGAGTGAGGTGACGGATATGTTAATTTGCTTGACTGTAATAATCATTTCACTATGTATATGCATATCAAAACATCATGTTGTACACCTTAAATATATATAATTAAAAATGATAAATAAAATATGTCACAGTTCACCAGAGTGAATAGAGATTTCCCCATACTGACTATATAACTCAATCTTTTAATGAGAGTTACATATTTGGCCATGTGACCCTGGTGAGATCAGATACCTTGAATCTGAAACATGGTAAACATCATGATGACCAACTCTATGGGAAAAGGGCCATATTTAATACACTGGCCCCATTGGATTTGTAAGACCTCCAACCATAGGGTCCCCCCATATAGCGACACATCATGCGTTTTTTTTTTGAGGCTGGCATGAGTTTTATCAAAGGCACAGAGCCTGACCCCACTTCCCAATACCAAACTGTTTTTCACCAAATGCCCCTGGGCAGTAAATATTTCCATTTAATGAAAATGAAACTCCTTTTTTTGAGCAAGCATAACGTCTAATTCCAACAGGCTGCTCTGCACCCCGAAACCCTTTCCAGAGGTCTCAGTCATTCACTGCAGCAGCCCTCTCCACCGCAGTGGACAAAACGGCTCTATTCCTAGTCTCCCAGGCTGCTCAGGGCCGTGGGCATGAGCTCCTTTCTTGTTCATGAACAGCATCTCACCAGAGCCTGGGGAAGCCAACCTTTAGTGCAAAGAGTCCAAGAGTCCACTGATTAGTTCCATGGTCTAAACATCTTTTTTTTCGTAAGCTTTATTTATTATTCTCCCTGCAAACAGTTCCTACTTTAAATGAATTCTGCAAGAACAGAAGTGTTAAGTGCGATGTCATGTTGATGTCCTCCTACGCCCCTTGCACGCACTCAGAACCATGTCCTAGGTTGTAATCCTCTCTTTACTCTGCCTTCTAGTAGCATGAGCTTAGTCTTTCGATGATCTTCCTTCTTTCATTTAATAAATATTTACCAAGGGGCTACCATCTACCAGGCAGAGGGGGAGACAGTGGTGAAGAAGAGAGATGCACGCTTCGCTGCATCTAATGGGGGACAAAGGATAATTACAATACAGTGAAATAAGTGATATGTCAGTAAGGCACTTTGGGTGCTCTCAGTGGATGGCATGAGTGAGGAGGGCTGGCTGCCTTGAGGAAAAGATCCTAGGATGAGTAGGTGTTATCTAAGCAAAAGAGTTAGGGCTAAGGGCATACAGAAGGAGCCAGAGGAGTATTTTAGGCAAAAGGTTTAACATGGGCAAAGGTGTGGGAGGTAGAGAGGACTTAGCAAGTGGTCCGATGGGCAGAACTCTGATGTGAGCTGAAGCGAGTTCTCCAAAGATAAGCTAACATGGTGGGCTGAGTAGACCAGGAGGCCTTTGTGAAGTAGCTTGGAATTTCTCTGAAAAGGCAATGTAAAGCCACCGTTAGGAGGATAGATATCAGACTAAGTGTTCTTAGCACAAAACAAAATGCGCAAAAGAACACAAGGAAATTTTTGGAGGTGGTGGACATGTTTAGTACCTTGATTGTGGTGATGTCTACATACAGGTGTATGTATATATCCAAACTCATCAAGAAGTATGTACGAAATATGTGAAACTTTTTGTATACCAATTAACCCTTAGTAAAGTTTTAAAAAAGGGGGAGAAAGGGGAGTTGTTCACCATGCAGGACCTGTGAGGGGCAGGGTCTAGGGCCCGGGTCTCCACATGCACCATGTAGAGCTGGAGCCATACTGAACATTCCAAGAAGCTATTGAAAGGACATGACTCATTAGCTTATAAAACTCCCTAATTATCCCAAGTTTTACTTTTTCACTTATCATAGACCTTCTTATGGTAATATATTACCCAATAAAAATGCCAGGGAGGACACCATCTGCATGTCAAACAAGAAGAGGCTGACTGTCATTCTGCAGGGCCCATCCTCAGTGACTGCTTTGAAAAATGATCTTTGTTCCACTACATGGTCGCTCCATAATTAGATTGATACCCTGTGGAAAATGCCTAATGATAAATGTAATCTAGTCCAATTAACAGCTGCCATGACCCTTGTCATTCTTCTCTCTTTGAAATTTTCAAGCATACACATCAAGGATTCTATAAGTAAACCCTTTTGCCAACCCAGGAGAATGGTGACTCCTTGGCAACTTGAGGCTTAAATTGAATTTCATTTGGGCAAAATTTACCAGGGTAGGCCTGTGAGATAAACAGGGTCAGCCTCTTTTTATTTTTTAAATGAGCAAGGAGGTTCCGTAGCTTGCCTTGAACCTGACTTCGAGATATACAAAGGAGGGGTGAGTAAGACAATACATCGCATAGTTTCCATTGCCGAATTTTTATTATGAGCATCCCCCTGAGTGTTCGTCTGCCGTTTCTGAACTTTTGTGTGATTTACCGAAGCCTAAGCGTCTAGATTGAATGGGGAGAAGCAGATCAGAGGATATCATTCCACTACAGTAGACACCCTTATCTATGGGGATATGTTCCAAGACCCCCCACTGGATGGGTGAAACTGGCCAGTACCGAATCCTGCAACTACTATGTTTTTTTCCCACATACATACTTACCTATAATAAAGTTTAATTTATTCACTAGGCACAGAGAGAGATTAACAAGAACTAATAGTAAAATAGAACAAATATAATAATATCCTATAATAAAATTTATGTGAATATATTCTCTCTCTCAAAATATCTAATTGTACTGTACTCACCCTTCTTCCATGTGATGATGCGAGATGATTAAATGCCTGCGTGATGAGATGAAATGAGATGAGATAAATAACATAGGCATTGTGACGTAAATGGAAAAATTCCAGAAACGGCTCATAGGTTTAAAATTGTGCTCTGTTCTGAGTAGTGCGAGAGGATCTCTGCCATCCTGCCCAGGATGTGAATCACCCCTTTGTCCGGCATATCCATGTTGTATACACTACCTGCCCATTAGTCACTTAGTAGCCAGATCTGCTATCAGATAGACAGTTGCAGTATCTCAGTACTTGTGTTCAAGTCACTTACTTTATTTTATTTTATTTTATTTTATTTTATTTTATTTTATTTTATTTTATTATTTTGAGATGGAGTCTCGCTCTGTTGCCAGGCTGGAGTGCAGGGGCACCATCTCGGCTCACTGCAACCTCTGCCTCCCGGGTTCAAGCGATTCTCCTGCCTCAGCCTCCTGAGTAGTTGGGACTACAGGCGTGTGCCACCATGCCTGGCTAATTTTTGTATTTTTAGTAGAGACGGGGTTTCACCATGTTGGCCAGGATGGTCTCAAACTCCTGACCTCATGATCCGCCCACCTCGGCCTCCCAAAGTGCTGGGATTACAGGTGTGAGACACCGCACCGGGCCAAGTCACCCTTATTTTACAAGACTAGTGATGTCATATTGTCTGACCGCACTTGACCACGGGCAACTTGACCATGGAAAGTGAAACCAAGGATAAGTGGGGACGACTGTATTCTTTTTTACGCATGGGAAAGGAACAATTTTATGTAAAAGGACGATATAAAAACTATAAGTGTGTCCCATATTACATTTTCATAGACTATTGTAGAGTGCCTTTACTTAGAGGATTTTTAAAAAGTATAATGTGTCTATCTTTTTGGGATCTACAGTATTATTTCAGGAAGAAGTGGAGCTACAATTTGCGTTGTCCATTTGAGCCTTCTACACCTATCCCACCATGTCCTGGAAGAGATATCAGTGATAACATACTACATTTCTTAAACATTTTTTCCTAATGTCTCAAGAAAGGAACAACTACATGCAACTACATCTAATAATAAAGTAATAGAGTTTAGTCTTGTGACCACCAACTTTTACCCACCTTAGAAGAAATGGCCACTTTGGGAATCATATAGGGTTGTTAGAAGGACATAAAGAGGTTGTCTTCCTCAGTCTGTCTGACCTCAGTGCCACTTTGCCTAAACAAAAGTCAACAGTAGCCACAGTCAAGAGGTACTGTATATAAGTGCTTACTGTACAAATAGTCACTACCAAAAATGCTTTGCAAAACTCTTTAATCCTCACAACAGCCTCAAGAAACAAGTAGCATCACACCAGAAAGATGACAAAACTGAGATGAAGACGGAGAAGAGTAGGATTTGTTTGGCTTGAGTCAAGGCTCTTAAACAATGGCTATATTCTTTCTTCCAAAGCAACAAGGCCAGGGGCAGTGGCTCTCGCCTGTATAATTCCAACACTTTGGGAGGCTGAGGAGGAAGAATCACTTGATGCCAGGAGTTCAAGACCAGCCTGTGCAGCATAGTGACACCCATCTCTATAAAAGTAAAAATAAAAAATTAGCTAAGCATGGTGGCGCACACCTATAATCACAGCTACTTGGAAGGCTGAGGTGGGAGGATCATTTGTGCACAGGAGGTCAAGGCTGCCGTGAGCTATGACTGCACTCCAGCCTGGATGACAGAGCAAGACTCTGTCTGTAAAACAAAAACAAGTTCACTTCTTGATTCTGTGTGTTTTGGTATAAACTCTCCCTGCCAAATCCACATAAATTGAAACTGTGCCCTCAGCACCTCTTCTCTTGGTCCTTCTCAGTGAGGAAGAGGAAAAGCTGGTCTTGAGTGTGCATATATTTACCCCTTCTTTGCTGGAAGGTATCTGAGAACCATTGACCCTCCTCCTCCTCTGCCAGAATGGGCTGGTGGAAACCGAGAAGCCCCAGTATTAACTGAAGATCCATTGAAAGGGAAAGTAATGTAGTTTCAGGTGTATTGTCTTATTTAATCCTCACCACAACTTCTGAGATAAGTATTATAGAGATACAGCCATACAAAATTGACAATATGCAATTTATTTTAACCTACAAAAGTGGCAATGTTATATAGTGTAACCTAAAGTTGTTTTTAAGATAGATGTTGAAACTGAACTTCAGGTCTGACTCCAAAGTACACAGACATGGTATTACTCCTGCTTACTGTGAAGAATATCTAAGCAGCAAATGCTTCAACTCCTTTTTTCAAAGTGCTTGCCATATTGTTGGCAACTTTCTTATTAACTCTCTCTCTTCCATTCTTTACACTGAAAGAAACAATGACCATCACCACCCTCTGCCCCACTCACCCCAACCCAAATCTAACCTTTTCAACCCCTCTCGCATCCAGCCTTCTTTTTCCTCGCCAGTCAGATGGGGACCATTTCTCTTTCCTTCCACCTAAATACTTAAATTCATGCCCACCAGCTCCTGCTGCTGTCTTCAGTGGAGACCCTGTCTCTCCTGCTAATTTGCAGCTACTTGCTGCGACATGTGCTCCTGCTTTCTTTGATGTCTCTTTCCAACGCATACTTTCAGCTCCATCTTCGGTTCTCCTCTCCACAAGTCTTCCCTGAGCATGTAACTAACGACACGAAGATGCCTCTTACTCAGGATTGACTCCTTCCACCTTTACCTGACAAATCCTCAAGCTGTGTCTCTCTCTCTTTCCTTTCATTCAAAGCCAAGGTTCTTGAGGAGGCGTTCCATGAGCTCTCTTTAAGTCCTTTACTTCCCATTCCTTCCTCAACCCCCACAGACTGGCTTCTGCCCCCAACACAAGCTCTATGTGCTCTTCCCATGATCACTGATGCTCTGGGGATTGCTAAGTCAATGATTGCTCTTTGATGCTTATCTCTCATGCCTCACAAAAGCACCTGACATTCCTGACCACTTTGCCTCTCAGGCTTGCCCACTGTTGATCTCTGAATTGCCCTCCTGCCACCTGGTTTTTCTGCCACCTCTCTGACTGCTCTTTCTCAACCTCCTTTGCAGGCTTCTTTTCCTCACCAACCTATAAAACATCTGCTTTACCCAAGGTTACACCTTCATTCAAAAGCATTCATTGACTATGTCTTGAGCACCAATTTTGTGACAGGTACGTGTGCATGCATCTGTTACATGGCCCTGTGTTATTTGGATTGGTTACCTTGTCCAGTTCACTCATGGTGCTTCCAGTCCCTAAAGCTGGAGCCATGTCTACTAATTCATTTCATCAACTCCAAAAGGCAGTACCAAACCGGGAATCCAGTAGGGCCCCAATAAATATTTGCAGAATGAATGCTGAAGAAGGTTCACAAAAGGAACCCTTAGAGATACATGCATTATTTTAATCAACTACCAAAGCGGTGGCCCCTGTGGTGAGGGTCATGACAACTAAAGCACTGGAAGACTGATCTCTGAGATCCACTCTGGGCTCTGTTCGAGCCTAAGCTGTGCACACACCTGCTGCAGGTCAACAGGCTGGCCTGCATCTGCACATAGGCACCTGGCCTGAACCTCAGACTCAAATCGGGTTCTTGCCTCAAGCCTCTACCTGATACTCTCATGCGTTCATTAATTCATTCACTATATGTTTGTTGAGTAGTTATTTTGTGTAAGAAAGTTGCCTATGTGCTGAGAAAAACTTTATGAAGTTTATAGTCTAGCTGGGGAGACCAGACTCAACTATTTGTGGGAATATCTGTTTAGTGAATTACAACTGTAATATGCACCATTAAGAAAGATAAAGGGAGCTGGGTGCTGTGGTACATGCTTGTAATCCCAGCTACTTGAGAGGCTGGGGTGGAAGAATAACTTGAGCCCAGAAGTTCACAGCCAGCCCAGGCAACATAGTGAGACCCTGTCTCTAGGAAAAAAAAGAAATAGAAAGAAAGAAGGAAGGAAGGATAAAGAAAAGAAAAAACAAAGAGGGAAGGAAGGAAAAAGAAAGAGAGAAAGGAGAAAGAAAAATAAAGAAGAGAGAAAGAGAGAGAAAGAAAGACAGAAAAAGAAAGAGAAAGAGAGGAAGGGAGGAAGGAGAAGGGAAGGGAAGAGAAGAAAATAAAGGAGGGAAGGGAGGGAAGAAGGAAGAAAGAGGGTGGAGGGTGCTATGGGGAAAAGCTAAGCTGTACTTGGGTTTCAGGGAAGGCTTCCTAAGAGGTAACCTGTAAACATCTCTGAAAACCAGAGATTCTGTTTCATATTCTTCACCTTTCATATCTATAAACAGTTGTTAAAATTCTCAAGTATATCTTTTTGCTTTCTATTCTCATCCCCAGTGCCCTTGATCCGGCCCTTGGTATATGGCACGGTGCAGAAAAGAGTTAACACAGCGGAGGACTGGGACTGCCCTCCTTAAAAAGGCTTGCTTGCAAGTTTGGTTCTTGGCTGGCATCAGTGAACTTGGATCTCAGCGGTGTTCCCACCATTCCCTGACAAGCTATGCCTAAACTATTTGCCTCAATAATATGGTTTATGCTGAACACCTGCTTTCCTTTCAGGAGTCTGGAATGCCTCATGCAAGGCAGAGGGCGCTTATGTGACCAGCTTCAGTAAAGACCTGAGTACTGAGCCTCTAACGAGCTTCCTGGATAGACACCATTTCACAGGTGTTGTCCCAGCTTGTCGCTGGAGCAATTAAGAGGGCTCCTGGAAACTTGCACCTGGTTTCCTCTGGACTTCCCTTTGCTGATTTTACTTTGTATCCTGTTGCTGTAACAAATCTGAGCCCTGAGTATGACCATATATGCTGGGTCCTTGTGAGTCCTTCTTGCCAATCAGTAAACCTGGGGTGGGCTTGTGACCCTGAATGCAGGTGCCCAGTTAATTTCTTCTCTGACACTATTCCATATCCTGATGCATCCATTCATCCATTCTTTTTAATTTTTTTCATTTTTATTGGTACATAATAGGTGCATATACTTACAGGTACATAAGATATTTTGATACAGGCATACAATACATAACAGTCACATCATGGTAAATGGGGTATCTATTACCTCAAGCACTTGTCAATTCTTTGTGCTACTAATCATTCACTCTTTCATGATAACTAAGTGCCACATGTTGGGCTAGCTGTTCACTGTATAGCCTTTCCACCTATCTGTATGGCCTATTCCTTCACTCTATTTAAGTCTCTGCTCAATTACAGAGGCCTTCCCTGATCAGCCTGTTTAAATGCATGTCCTCATTCTCTGTCTTGTTGGTTCTTGCCTGGGATGCAAATTAGAAAATACCAATGCTGGCTGGGCGTGGTGGCTCAGGCCTGTAATCCTAGCACTTTGGGAGGCCGAGGCAGGTGGATCACTGAGGTCAGGAGTTCAAGACCAGCCTGGCCAACAAGCTAAACCCCGTCTCTACTAAAAATACAAAAATTATCCGGGCGTGGTGGCACATGCCTGTAATGCCAGCTACTAGGGAGGCTGAGGCAGGAGAATGGCGTGAACCTGTGAGGCAGAGGTTGCAGTGAACCAAGATTGCGCCACTGCACTCCAGCCTGGGCAACAGAGCGAGACTGTCTCAAAAAAACAAACCAAAAAACCCACAAAAAAACCAGTGCCAGGGCCCACTACAAAGGTTTTAATCCCCTTGTTCTTGAGTGGGGGCCTAGGCATCATCATTTTCCAAACCTTTCTGGTTGATTTTAATGTGCAGGCAGGGTTGAGACTGAGGCCTAAAACTCTGTCCTTTTATCCAGTTTTATTTTCCTTTATTGTACTGTTACCTGAAACATTATGTATAAATTTATTTAAAAATTATATATAATATACAAATATAATCTATATTTTATATAGATTAAATATACATATTTAATTTGGATATTTATATAATTTACACGAATATACATTTATCTACCAGAAATTAATACACATGCATAATGAATGAATTTATATTTATATACACACATAAAGTAATAAATATTTAACACATTTGTATAATTTGTTTGTATATATAATTGCATATAATTATTATTAATTACAATTAATATATAATTAATTATATATATACAATTTTCCCATTAGAAAATACACTTTACAAGAGCAGAAACTTAGTCAGTTTTGTTCACTGCTACATCTTCAGTGCCTACAATAGTAATCGCTATATAATGGATGGTTAAAATAAATATTTGTTAAATGAAAGAACAAATGATTCTCTTTGGGATGGCATTTAAAGCTCTCCATGATCTGAAAAAGCCAACTTATCTTGCTATTTTCATGTACTTCTCTGACATATGGTCTATACGCTTTATGGATTATTTTGGCTCTACCCCATTTATCATATACTAATCAGAGTCTTTCTATACTAGAGCCATGTGGTCACATATTCATCCACCTCTTCCATTAGACCAAAGACTCTGTGTCTCCCAGGGTTTACTTAGAACAGTCTCTTGTTCATAGCAGGTGTTCTTTCTGTGAGTTGCACTGAATGATTTCTGGATTCATAAAATCAAAGAGAGGTCAGAGCAAAGATAATTAAGCCGCTAGTTTTAGCACTACTCATTACAAGGGATAAATAGCTCACCAGAAAAGAGGGTTATGGCCTCTATCTTATTTCTAACTTGGTACCTTGATTAAAATTGCCCATAGTTAAAATGCCTGATGTCACTGTTCACTGCATGCTTTGCTTTTTCCTAAATTTAACTCTTGATTATCTGGGCCAGTGTTGAGAACCTGGTATAGAAAATAGAATATTACAGGTGTTCCAAGTTGCCAAAGTGGTGATGCCAGCACTAACCCCCATGTCAGATGCCTCTGTTGGTCATCTGCTGCAGGGAACTTGACTATGAGCTGCTGGGGACCCTGCAGGCCTCCTGGAAGGGGACAGCATTTCTTCAGTTACGGCTTGGTCTTCCATGTAGTGTGGATAATCTTCACTTAGGCCTCTAGATGCCTTTAAATACGAATCAAAGAAAAGCTCTCCTAGGAATTTAAGAGACATTTCATTTCTGTGGGTCTCTTAAAAACTTACATTGTTTTTCTCATTGTGGAATGGATCTTGAGGATAATTATTCTTTGGGGAAAAATGATCTTATTACACAAATTATTCTAGTTACTTTGGAATGAGCTTTAAGTAAATGAAAGAGAAATTTGCTGTAATTCTTTGAAAAGACACTCCCCACCAAAAAGAAAAAAACTGAAGGAGAGATAATATTATGTGCAGAGTCAGGCATACTGCATTAAAATCCCAGCTTCACTACTTACTAGTTTTGGATCCTAGACAAGTTACTCAACCGCTCTGTGCCACAGTTTCCTCATCTATAAAACTGGCACAATAATAGTTGCTTACCTCATCAAGGTATTATGAGTGTTAAATGATTAAACACTTTGAACAGTGTCCAGCACAGAGTCAGCACTCAATAGTTGTTAGCTGCTGTTTCTGGCTTCCACTAGAAATTTTGCGTGGAATGTTCATATTTTGGAGTGGGAAGGCTCTTTATAAATACAACACCATGGATTGAAATCATAAACCACCATGAATAAAATTACCAGAACCATGCAAAATAAACATTTTTGCAGCACAGAATAGATTTTTAATATGTAAAGAGATCTAACATTTCAACAATAAAAAATTAACACTGCAATAAAAATCAGCAAATGATTTGAAGAGTTAATCCATAAATTAAAAAATATGGTCCAAAAATATGAAAAAGTTTTATATAAACTTACATATTTAAATCGCAATACACAATGTTTCTTTTGAATCAAACTGCAAAGATTAGATAAAATGTTAATACACAATGCTGCTGAAAGTGCAGGGAAATGAGCATGCTTATGCACTAGTAGGAAGTCCAACCTTTGGATGCAAACTTGGCCGCACATGCCAAAAATGTGAAATTTTGTATATTCTTAGCAATTCTACTTCCAGAAATTATCTTAGGAAACTAATTATGGATGTATACTAGTGCTTATTGTACATTGCTTATAGCAATGAAGTATTTAAAACCCCTAAATATGTAACAAAATGGTATAATTTAAATTAGCAATGTACGAGGCAGAAATTACAAATCATGTTGAAGCAGGATGTTATATAATATGAGGAAATGTTCAAAAGGAGAGAAGGGGAGTGAGAGTGAGGGTCGGGGAAGAGAGAGACAGAGCATGCAGGAGAATCTGACTGCCTGAGCCATCTTATCTGACTTCCATCTTGTTAGATGAAGTAAGTTCATTTGCTATTAAGAGATGTTCCAAACCTCCTATTACTTTCTTTCTGACTTCTGTGTTAGGCAATATTTGTGATGTTTCCCATCTCAGCTGCTTCTAGGGAAAAGAACTGCACAGCCTCTCCTCCACTCCACTCCCCGAAGTTTATACATAGTCTAGAATAAACAAAATCTTTGTTTTCACAAGAGAACCTTATTATTATCGCTTATTATTTGCTGAGCATCAACAGTTCTTTAAAAAAAGTGGTAAGTGATCTGTTCTAAATTAGGCTAATACACGCCTGGCTCCCAGAAACACAGTCACCTGCCAAACGCTTTCTAGTCTTTGGGTCTATTAAAAGCTACTCCCCTCCAGACTCCTCACTCCAATCAGGAGAAAGACACACAGTGAGCAGCATCTTTAAATTTGCTGCAGATTCTAGTTTGTTTACGACGTGCTCCCTAACATCAATGCTGAGAGATGTTGAATCCCTTCCTTGCTCGCTACAACTGTGAGCTCAGACGGATGTATGAACATCACAGTCTTTAACTCAAGTTCCATGTCCGGTTTACTTTTGACCTTGGCTTAAGTTATTCAGCAACACCGTGTACATAAATACTCTATAAGGATGTTAAGCAGGAAGACAGCTGCTGCTGAGACTGGGATGGGGGGAAGGGGGGCTGGGTGAGGGGCTCATGAGTTTGGTGCCAGATGTGCCATGGAAGCTGGGTAGGGCCACAGCCTTCCTATGACCTTCAGATTACAATTCCAGGGCCCAGCTACCTCTACGGAGAAGAAACAGAAACATAGATATGCAAATATTCACTTAATTATTTCCCATATTTTCCTAAGGAGATCCTACCACAACATTAATAAGCTTTTTATTTCAGTATAATATGCACACAGGAAAACGACAAATTTTAAGCATACACGGCAAAAATAGAACATCACCACAACCTCAGAAGCCCCCTCATGCCCCTCTTAACTATTCCCTCTTTCATCCCAAAGTTAACCAATATCCCCACTTCTAACATCGCAGATCAGCTTTGTCTCTCTTTGAACTTTATAAACATAAAATTGTACAATATGTTTTTGTTTGTGAGGTTTTTCTATGTTGTTCCACTTAATGGCGTCTTCATTTTCATCCTGTATAGTATTCCTGTGTCTGAATATATAAATTTTTTTTATCCATTCTATTGTCACAAAACAGTTTGGTTGCTTCCACGTTTTAACTATTATGACTAATGCATTTTGTACCTATTTTTGGCCTGCATATACATGCATTTCCATTAGTTTATACTTTGGCGTGGAATTTCTGGGTTGTTTGGCATAAATACATTCAATTTCAATAACACTTTAAAACATTTCTTTACAAAGTGATGGTGCCAATATATGCTTCTACCAGCAGTGTATGAGAGTTTCATTTGCTCCACCTCCTTGCCCACACTTGGTACTGAGAGGTCTTTCTTTTTTTTTTTTTGACAGAGTCTCTCTCTCTCTGTCACCTGGGCTGGAGTGCAGTGGCACGATCTCTCGGCTCACTGGAAGCTCCACCTCCCGGGTTCACGCCATTCTCCTGCCTCAGCCTCCCAAGTAGCTGAGACTACAGGTGCTCGCCACCACGCCTGGCTAATTTTTTTTTTTTTTTTAGAGACGGGGTTTCACCGTGTTAGCCAGGATGGCCTCGATCTCCTGACCTCGTGATCTGCCCGCCTCGGCCTCCCAAAGTGCTGGGATTACAGGCATGAGCCACTGCACCCGGCCGAGAGTTTTTTAAAAATTAAAATTACTGTGTGGGTGTGTAGTGGTATAAAGTGTGATTTATGTATGAATTTCCCTGATAGCAACAATTGTTGAACAAATTTTCATATGCTTATTGGCCATTTGGATAACTTATTTTGTAAAATACCTGTTTGGTTGTTTGGTCCATTTTAAAATCAACTTGTTTGAATTCCTATTGTTAATTTGAAGGAATTAATTATGTGTTCTGGGTAAGTCCTTCATCAGATGTATACATTGTAAATATTTTCTTGCAGTTTATGGCTTGTGTTTCTAAATGGTGTCTTCGAGTTTTTATATTTGATGACACCAACTTACTACTTTCTTACACTGTTTGTGTCCTTTCATAGGAAGATTAAAGATATTTTCTTATGTTTTCCTCTGGAGGTTTTATAGTATTAGCTTTTATGTTTAGGTCTGTGAATCATTTAGAATTAATTTTTGTTTATGGTCAGGTGTAGGTCAAGGTTAGTTCCCCCCCATATGGATATTCATTTGTTTCAGCATCATTAATTAAAAAAACATTCTTTCCGTATTGCATTGTATTGGTGCCTTTGTCAAAAATCAAGTGAGTGCAGGTGTGGATGTTTTTATGAATGCTGTATTCTTTTCTATTATCTATTTGTCTATCCTAACACCAATACTACACTGTCCTAATTAGCGTAAATTTATAATTTTTGGAATCTGGTAATGTAGTTATCTAACTTTGTTCTTGGCTAGTCTGAGTTCTTTTGTATTTCCACATTCAATTCAGAATCTGTTTGTCAATCTCCTAAAAAGCCCTCCAGGATTTTGACTGAGATTTCATTGACTTTATGGATCAATGTTGGGGAAGTGACATCTAAATGTTGAGTCTTCCAAACCATAAACATGGTGTATCTTTTCATTTATTTAGGTCTTCTCTAATATTTTTCTGCAATCTTTTGTAGTTTTGTAGTTCTCATCAAGAAGTATTCTATATTTTTTGTGTAATGTATTGCTAGGTATTTGGTGTTTTTGAGTCTATTGTAGTATTACTTTCTTTTAGATTGTAACCATTCTGGTAAAGGTATACACATCTCATTGTGGCTTCAATTTGTATTTCCCTGATGATCAATGAGGTCGAGCACCTTCTCATGTGTATTGGCCATCTGCATATCCTCTATTGTAAAGTGCCTATTTATGTTTTTAAGTCCTGTTGGAGGTGTATGTATTTTAAATATCTTCTTCTACTTGCCTTCTTCTAGCTTGCCTTCTTTCTCTATTAATGGTGTCTTGATAAACATCAATGCAAACCAACGACTTCACTCTGTGTTCAACTGCGACAAATCAATCTCTTCTAGTGCTGGACAAAAACATGTTTGTGTGGAATTTACCACAAGGCTGGATGTGTATTTACTGTGTTTTATGGACAATTTAATTGATTTTTCAAGAGCAACTTTGATTACAGTGATTTTTTACTTGCTCAATTACCTTTAGAACCTGGCCCCCAAGTTACGAATCTACTGCGGTGTCCCCGATTTTCCGACAGAGTGAAAGAAATGTGATGGAAAGTGCTTGCTCTCCAGACATTTAAAATTTAAGCAAAGAGAGATATGTCCTTTTCCTTCTCTCTCCACAGATCCTACATCATAGCACCAAGGAACTACTATAATTCCCTGGACATAACATGCCTTTGCATACCCATGCCTTTTCTTAAGCTCTTTCCTTGGCCTGGAATGCCCTTTCTTACTTGATCTCAAACTATCATCCCCTCTTCATGCATTTCCCTCACTGAATTCAGTCTCAGCTATGTCTCTGATGCTGCTTTTGCTCATTTCCAGTTCTCAGCACTCCTAATGCTCCACCTCCGCCATTCCTCACCTCATTCTCATCCCTCACCCACCGTCCAAGATGCTAACTTTCAGAGCAGGCATGCAACTGGCCAGCACCTTCTAACCCAGAGACTCTTCAGCCCTGCTTCACCCCTGGTCAGCCTCACCCTGAAGAGCTCATTCCACATTAACTGTGGCTTTCAGCGCCTGAATCTTCTATTGTCCTTCGCCAGGTGATGCAGAGACAGCAGAGGGTAAAACATGGCCCTGCTGTACACATGCATCAAACAGCTGGAAGCCAAATCAAAACATGCCCCAGACACACTAGCTCTCTGGAAAGTGTCTTGGACCTTCTCGCTTCCTTCCTGCTCCCACTGTGTCTCTCAATATATTCAGTTCATGACCTTTCTAGATCTTACTCTTCCTTATGGTCTTAATGCCTGTTTGTCGGCATCACTTTGAAGACGCAGCCGGCACTTAACTCCAACTCTTCCCACTCCTGATAATCATCTTGCCCCTCTGAGTCCTCTCCCTGGGCTCCCAACCCAATGTCAGGTCCTCAGCGTGTGTCCTTGTCCTCTGGAGGGAGCAATGGACAGATAATTTTCAATACACATTGGAGATCACCAGGTATTGGTGATTCATGTCATGTGCATATGTTCATATATATCTGTCTGACCTTTAAACAATACTACTTTGACTCTTCTAGTGCATTCCTAGGCAACACATAATCTTCCCCAATTTATGCTAAAGGGGAACATTATCATGCTTATAAATCTATTCTAATGTAAACTCGTGTTTAATTTATTTCCTTCAAAGAAAATCTCATCATATTTTTAATACTCAGCTTTTATTATGGTAATACTTGCATATTGAAATACCTTAGTTATCATCTCCCAAAGGAGGCTTTTAAATCAGTCTATTATGACATTCTCTTACATTAAAAAAACACTCCTTGTTCTACAATTTCTATTTTACCTAGAGCCAGGAACATCTGCCCCTTGAGCTGCATCGAATGACAGCATTATTTAGCTGGCTTGAATCACACCCAGGAGATGGCTTTCTATACAAAAGGATCTCACCCATGCAGCAGTTCCTGGCAGCACACGATGTAAGAGGCATTGAACTTGATGCCCCCAACTCGAAGGGAGGGGGTACATGTCTATTTCATCAAAATAGGTGCAATGACATGATAGAGACATTTACATAAGATGAGATAAAATAATGAATGCAAGAGTACTTCATAAGCCCTGAAGAGTTATGCAAATATAAAACCTGGTTATTAAATAGCTGTGAATCACAGACAGTTATTAAAGATTGGTAAGTGAGCACAGAAAAATTGATTATTCCAGTCAGGGGCATTGAGTATTCAATTAGGTATCATAAAGGACCTTAAAAGATGAGTAGGCAGCAATAAAAAGGAATAAACTACTGATACACACGAAATGGATGATTCTCCAGGGAATTATGCTGAGAGAAGAAAGCCAAGCCTAGAAAGTTGCATGTTGTAGGATTTTACTTATATAGCATTTCTGAAATGAAACATCAAAGAAGGCTTGGGTGGGGTGGCTCATGCCTGTAATCCCAGTGCTTTGGGAGGCAGAGGTAGGAGGATTGCTTGAGGTCAAGAGTTTGAGACCAGCTTAAGCAACATAGTGAGACCCCATCTCTACACAAAAATTAAAAAATTAGCCCAGCACGGTAGTGCGTGCCTGTAGTCCCAGCTATTTGGGAGGCTGAGATGGGAAGATAGCTTGAGCCCAGGAGTTCAAGGCTGCAGTGAGCTATGATTGTGCTTCTGTACTCCACTCCAGCCTGGGTGACAGAGCAAGACTCTGTATCAAAAAAGAAGAAAGAAAGAAAGAAAAGAAAACATTATAGAAATGGAGAGCACATTGGTGGCTTCCAGCGGTTGGAGAAGCAGGTGATGTGGTAGGAAGAAGATGGGTGCACTTATGAAAGGGCAAGAGGGAGCCTGCGGTCATGGACCTGTGTGGTCTTGACTGTAGTGATGGATACATAAACCTACATAGGTAATAAAATCATGTAGAACTAAATACACACACACACACATGTAAAACAGGGGCAGATCAGTGGATTGTATCAATGTCGATATCCTGGTTGTCACATGGTACTACAGTTTTGCAAGATGTTACCATTGGTGGAAACTGGGTAACGGTAACTGAGATCTCTCTGTATTACCTCTTACAACAACATATGAATTTACAACTATTTCAATTAAAACTTTAGCTAAAACAAAAGATGAGTAGGGCTTTAATAGGTAGAGATGAGCTGGATTTGGCTGGTGGGGAGAGGAGAAGGCTTCAAGGGGGACGGAGTGGCTTGGGTAGAGAGAGATGCGTGAATCTGAAAGATGCAGTTAGAAAATAGTCCCAGCAACAGAAAACAATAGTTCCTATTTATTGAGCATAAAGAATGGACATAAACTTTTTCACACAGCCAGTCATTTACTACCATCACAACTCATGAACTGGGTACTATTAAAATCCCCATTCACCAGGGACTTGAATGTCTTTAGAGTCAACAGTGTGACCCTAGAGCGGCGGAGCTCCTTGCTCAGGATTGCAGAGCTAGTGCGCGGAAGCACAGAACTGCAGAGACTGTTCTTCATCACACACTGCACGGCTCCCGGCCCAGCAGCGCTAAGTGGTTCTGAGTCACTAGGGAACGAGGGGTCCGAGGGTTGTGGTGCAAGATGAAAATGGAGAGGCAGGTATATGCCGGAGCTGAGAAGGCGGGGAGTGCCGTGCCAAATAATTTTGACTATAATATGTGAACAATGCAGAGGATGAAAAATTTCTCTGAAGTGTCACCGTGATCAGAGAGATGTTCTTTAGGAAAATAACTTTGTTGGCATTCTAGAAGGGGGATTGAGAAACAGAGACTGGGTTAGGGACAGGGCAGTCAGCACAAGCCCGGACCGGTCAGGAGCTGGGAACAGCTGGAGGAACGTGTGGACTGTCTGGCTGCTCAAACATTAGCTGGCCCTGCCTGGGGTGGGCTATACCTCCCGGCCTCACTGACAGCAGGTGCAGCCATGGACTTAGAGCGCCTCCTGGGGGAGGAGTATACTTGAGTACGTGAACTCAAGAGCAGCCACGTGATTTGCTTTGGACATTGAAATGTGACAGGGGATGATCCGTCAGCCCGGGTCCTGGATGTAGCGCAGGGAGGAAGCCCATTCAAAATGGACATGGAGCTTAAGTGAGAAACAAGCTTATGTTGTTGTTAATTGTTGAGATTCGGGGGTCGTTTGTTATATCAGCGTGAACTGGGCAATTTGGCTGATACAAGCAGGATAATTTGGGGTAGCAAGAAGGGACGTGAGTGACTGGCTCAGGTGTGAGGCTCTAAACTGAGCAGTGTTGGTCTCATCACTTGACACTGTGTCCTAGATATGAGGCGGGATAGGATGGTGACACAAAGGAGCCACACTGGATTATTTTCTGAGACATTCCCCTATTCAAATTTCAGTAGAATAAGCTATAAAACACAATGCCTAGAATCTGGCACAAGGCACTGCCACCTTGAAGATCACCAGATGATCACTTACAAACCAAAAGAAAGCTGAGAAAGGACAAGTGTGTGCAATGCATGCATGGACACATGCGTGTACACATAGACACAGAGTCTCCATCACCAGAATTGTGAATCTTGGAATTCACAATTTCTCTCTTGTTTTTAAAGAGATGGAGTCTTTCTCTGTTGCTCATAGCTCCCTGAAACCTCAAACTACTAGGCTCAAGTGATCCTCCCACCTCAGCTTCCTGAGTAGCTGGGGCTACAGGTATGCAGTACCATGCTCGGATAATTTTTTAATTTTTTCGTAGAGATGGGGTCTTGCTATGTTGCTCAGGCTGATCCTGAACTCCTGGCCTCAAGTAACGCTCCCACCGCAGCCTCCCAAAGCACTGGGATTACAGGCATGAGCCACTGTGCCCAGCTGGAATTCAGTTTCTTTAGCTTCATTCTTTCCCTAGAATTCTCCCTCATCTCTGTTTTCCTTGTCTCTGTTTTCAGTACATATATGGTGCTAAATGATAATAATTTATTTCAGCCCCTAGGGGAAGAAAATGATCTTGGGTTGGTGGAGGAAGAGGAAGAAGAAAGTCAGACTTGACAGTTTCTCCCTAAATCTTCTCTATTCACCTTTGAAAATGTATAAATGTGAGCTGTGGGTGAAGCTTAGTGGGAATACCGATTAGAAGGCATTTGATGAATAATTGTGAATTCTGAGTCTTGGACAAAATGTTCTCCTTTACTGTCCCACTTAACAGGACCGAGTTACCTAGAAGGCGTTTGGGAACTGGCTAGGAGAGCACTGCTCTTTGGGTGGTTTCTTGCTCATTGACACTACATCATTCGTCTCTGGCTGGTATCCAGTAAGAGTTCAGAGTTGTTGGTAAAATGAACACTGAAGACTCTCAGTGGGAAAGCTCCATGTCCTCTACGATATCATATCTTTGCTTCTGGCTCTGTTTCCTGTGACATCATCAAACTCACAGATGGCTGCCTTCAGAGAGTGTGTCTGAGATATCAACCTCACAGGAGTGAGCATTATGGGGACTGAGCTGGTTGCTTGGCTAACTCAAATCACCAAGGCGAGTAAATGAATAACTGTCTCTTCCAGAACAAATGCTGTCTTAAATCACAGCTGTTAAAACTACTCACCAGGGCCCTTTGTCCCCAGAGCTGCAGGCCTGAAGATGGGCTTTTAGATTCTTTTCTTACATCAGCTTGATTTTTAAAAATTCCTCTTCACAGATAAAGGGAATATCATTGCAAGAAGTGTTGGATTAGAAATCAATGCTCAGCTGGGCATGGTGGCTGATACCTGTAATCCCAGCACTTTGGGAGGCTGAGGCAGGCAGTTGTCTTGAGCCCAGGAGTTCAAGAATAGCCTGGGCAACATAGCGAAACCCTGTCTCTACTAAAAATACAAAAAAAAAAAAATTAACCAGGCATGGTGGCACACGCCTGTAGTCCCAGCTACTCGGGAGACTGAAGTGGGAGGATCACTTAAGCCTGAAAGGTCGAGGCTGCAGTGAGCTATGATTACACCACTGTACTCCAGCCTGAGCGATAGAGTAAGATTGTGTCTCAAAAAACAAAACAAAACAAAACATGCTTAACACTGGTTATGGCCCCAGATGCACAATACTATTTGTGCTACCTTGCACTATAAAAATGCTTAAACAAATTTACAAGAGAAAAACAACCCCATCAAAAAGTGGGCAAAGGATATTAACAGACACTTCTCAAAAGAAGACATTTATGTGGCCAACAAACATGAAAAAAAGCTCATCATCACTGATCATTAGAGAAATGCAAATCCAAACCACAATGAGATACCCTCTCACTCCAGTCAGAATGGTGATTATTAAAAAATCAAGAAACAATAGATGCTGGAGAGGCTGTGGAGAAAGAGAAACACTTTTATACTGTTGGTGGGAGTACAAATTAGTTCAACCACTGTGGAAGAGAGTGTGGCAATTCCTCAAGGATCTAGAACCAGAAATACCATTTGACCCAGCGATCCCATTACTGGGTATGTACCCAAAGGATTATAAATCATTCTAATATAAAGATACAAGCATATATATATTTATTGCAGCACTATTTATAAGAGCAAAGGCTTGGAACCAACCCAAATGCCCATCAATGATAGACTGCATAAAGAAAACGTGGCATGTATACACCATGGAATACTATACAGCCATAAAAAAGAATGAGATCATGTCCTTTGCAGGGACGTGGATGATGAAGCTGCAAGCCATCATTCTCAGCAGACTAACACAGGAACAGAAAACCAAACACCACAGGTTCTCATAAATGGGAGCTGAACAATGAGAACACATGGACACAGAGAGGGGAACAACACATACTGAGGCCTGTTGGGCCATGGGGGACAAGGGGAGGGAGAGCATTAGGACAAATGCCTAATGCATATGGGGCTTAAAACCTAGATGATGGGTTGATAGGTGCAGCAAACCACCATGGTACATGTATACCTATGTAACACACCTGCACGTTCTACACATGTATCCTGGAACTTAAAGTAAAATTTTAAAAAAATGCCCCAAATATGATGCCATTTGAAGTCATTTTCTAGAATCATTACTCAAATATTGGTATAGCTATTTGCCTATATATTTAAAAAGTACTTTTCATCTCTGGTGAGCATGTTGTGGAAGACACAGATTTAAAAAAGAAGAAACGGAATGCCTGGTCAGACGTCAAAGTTTTCAGATGTATCATTACAACACATGAATGCTTTTGATTAACCTGCAGAATTCTTAATTACTGTAGGGATAATGTTAAAGTCAATATTAAGCTTTTACACAGTTGGTGGGAGTGTAAACTAGTTCAACCACTGTGGAAGACAGTGTGGCAATTCCTCAAGGATCTAGAACTAGAAATACCATTTGACCCAGCGATCCCATTGCTGGGTACATACCCAAAGGATTATAAATCTTGTTACTATAAAGACACATGCACACATATATTTATTGCAGCACTATTCACAATAGCAAAGACTTGGAACCAACCCAAATGTCCATCAGTGATTGATAGACTGGATTAAGAAAGTGTGGTACATATACACCATGGAATACTATTCAGCCATAAAAAAGGATGAGTTCATGTCCTTTGTAGCGATGTGGATGTAGCTGGAAACCATCATTCTGAGCAAACTATCATAAGGACAGAAAACCAAACACCACATGTTCTCACTCATAGGTGGGAATTGAACAATGAGAACACCTGGACACAGGGCAGGGAACATCACACACCGGGGCCTGTCAGGGGGTGGGAGGATGGTGGAGGGATAGCATTAGGAGATATACTTAATGTAAATGACGAGTTAATGGGTGCAGCAAACCAACATGGCACATGTATACATATGTAACAAACCTGCATGTTGTGCACATGTACCCTAGAACTTAAAGTATAATAAAAAGAAAAAAAGAAAAAAAAAGCTTCTTTAATTATTAATGCTTTTCATTACTATTCAGCTTTACTAAGCATCTGACATTTCCAAGTCTTTCTTCTAAAATATATTATATTTACTCTGCATTAAGAAAGTAATTTTTCGGCTGGGCGTGGTGGCTCATGCCTGTAATCCCAGCACTTTGGGAGGCCGAGGCGGGCGGATCACGAGGTCAGGAGATCGAGACCATCCTGGCTAACATGGTGAAACCCCGTCTCTACTAAGAAATACAAAAAAATTAGCCGGGTGTGGTGGCGGGCGCCTGTAATCCCAGCTACTGAGGAGGCTGAGGCAGGAGAATGGAATGAACCCGGGAGGTGGAGCTTGCAGTGAGCCAAGATTGCGCCACTGCAGTCCAGCCTGGGCCACACAGCAAGACTCCGTCTCAAAAAAAAAAAAAAAAAAAAAGTAATTTTTCATCTTCAAATTGATAAAAATAAAATGACCAGAACTCAGAAAAAAAAATTATCATGGGCTATTTTTTTCTATTGAAGAGTTGCAAACAATGGTTAAAACTCAAAAGTTTGTTCCTAAGATTTTTAAATATGTCGCATCCCATGCTTGAATCCAAAAGAGACCAAATGCTAAAAAACTGCTTGAAAATTATACTAAGACACATAAAAAACATTTCAAGGCATTAGTGAGAATTGATTAGATTTAGCAAATGCTAGATTTAGTGAATGCTTAAAAGATCCCTCGATTGTAAATAAAGTTGATCAGAATTTTAAGTAGGACTGAGTGGAGAACTGCAAACAGATTGGAGTGTCTGGCAGTGAGGCGTCCTGCAGGGCATGGCGGTGACTCATATAAGGAGGTCCAACTGCCCCTCCTTGGCTGAGAAGAAGGAGACCAAGGGCTGTCTTGAGCTTCACGCTCTTGCTGCTCAAAATGAGGCTGATAACGACTGTCAAGCCAGGTGTGATCTTTTGTACTTTTGTGTAATTATGGCCCCAGATGTACACAGTAACTTGGCTACTTCTGGCAACAACAGCTTTGTGCCTTGAACTTGAATGCTTGGCCATACTGGGCAATCAAAGGGGAAAGAGTGCAATGTGCATTAGAGGCTCAGAGGAACTGCGGTTCTCAAAGGATTCAAATGTATATATGGACATGCTGAGCACGGTTTCTGAATTATCACAGATGCCCAGCAAATGCTAGCTGATCTGCTATTATTGCTATTATTCCCAGAACAATAAAAAGTCCTGCAGTTTATATTATAGCACTGTCAGCACTGACTCCCAATACTTTAACTTAAGAAGATACTTCACATTTATTTTCATTGCATACAAAATGGAAACCCCAACTTCGATTCAGTAGTGATAAGAATGTAAGCCGAGTGAAATTATGCCATTTGAGATGCCTCAATTTTATCTCTAAGAAACACAGAGAGGTCACCTAATGTCATTCTGGCAGTGGTCCCCTTGCCCACTGCTGGAGAAAATGGAATTCCAGTGTTTTCCAAGTTCTGGGAGGCAAAGCATGAACTGTCCCTTCTGCAGCCTGCACCTCCAGCTCCCCATGCACCTGCCAGCACAGTGGAAGGTGCCATGAAGCCACAAAGGGGCTTCTACTTGGCAAGGCCTTCTCAGTTCAGGGCTGGTGCTCTGACAATGGCAGCACACCAAAAACAGCTTCAACCATGGGAGAAAAGTGTTAGAGGCTGTAAATTGAGTGTGTGTGTGCGAAAAAGAAAATAGTGCATATTGCTGCGTGATGGAAGTCTATTTGTTATATAATAGGCAACTATGCTATTTTCAGCTTCTCATCTGCTACTTTTAGCTGTTTTGACTATCCTGTTCATTTCCCCACCCCTAATACTAGCTGGCACAGATAAAACAGAGTGCAATAGTTAAGTATCTAATATAAGCATCTAAAACAGGATTATTTCTACCAGGGATGCATGGGAGCAATTATCTAATGATTAGATTAGATGAAGTGTTCACAAAGGAAGGAACAGAGCTTCGTTTTCCTTTCAGCTCAGCCTATGACCAAGAAAGGACTCGCCTCCCTGCATTGGAAGCTTTTGTGATGCTACCGTTATGAATGGGAAATGTCTATCCAACGGCGGACCCATCATGCTATTTTAAACTTTTTAATAACAAATTAGCTATAATTTGGAATTAGCTTTGCCACGAGACAGATTTTTCATGGTTTATTTGGTTTGTTCATCCCTGATGTCTTCATAACATTGTGGCAGTTAAGAGATTTTTGTTTGAACGCTTTCAGAAAAAAAAAAAAAAAATCACCATGAATTGAGAGGCCCTATAAGGCTGTGGAAAAGATGGAGGCTAGTGTGCAAAGGCCCAGGCAGCAAAGCATTTGTGTGTGTGGTAGGTGGCATGACTGCTCACAAGTATTCACTCCCCTTCTCTTACCCTTACACACCCCACCCCTGCCATGTGATTTCTGCCTCTCTTATGGAAAGAGCTCAGTCATGGGATGTGCTGATTGATGTACAGGGATCTAACATGTGCCTTGTCTGAGCAGAAACTTCAAGAGGTGTGATGGGTTCCTGCCAGCTCTCTTGATCTGTCCTCTGCAGCAAAGCCAACTAATACAGAATGATTTAGATGATTCACTCCAACTTAGCTCCATTTTTAGTACCTTACTCTAAGAATATTCAGGTAGTGCAAGAGGTTTTGTAAAAAAAAAAAAAGAAAAGAAAAAAAGAAAAAAATAATTTGCTTATTTGTCACTAAAGGAGAAGCAAATGAATAGATTAAATGGACCTTTTTGAATCAGAAGAGTTGGTTCTAGTTCTAGTTCTTCTGAATATCAGCGTGTGACCTTGTACAGGTCATTTCACCTCCCTGAGCCTCAGTTTCCTCATTTTAAAAAGGGAAATAAGAATTTTGCTGCTGCTTACCTGACACCATGGCTAAATGAATCACATAGAGCCAGGATTGGCCAACATTTTCTATAAAGGGTCAGAGAGTAAATGCTGGAGCCTTTGTAAGCCATATCTGGTCACTGTCACTCTTCCCTCTTCCTCCTTTTCCTCTCCTCTCTCTCCTCCTCTTTCTTCTACAACCCTCTAAAACTGTAAAACCCATTCATAGCCCGCCAGCGATATGCAAACAGGCCTTGGGGCAAAGTTGAACTTCCAGCCAAAGTTTGCTGACCCCTGAATTTGAAAGGATCATTAAAAGGTAAAAAGTTAGGGATGGGGGTTGTGTGTCAATGGAGATGGAAATCCGACGATACAAACTCTTCATACAAAATGCTTGTTTCCAGTCCCTGCCTGATGTCTGTGGAAAGGTGGGATAAAAGTGCATTACAACAACAACAGATCAGGGTAACATGAAGTCAGGATGCTATTCGGTTACTTAGCATCCACAGTGTATTCAAGTTTTTGCAAAATGACACAGGAAGCAGTATCTTGGAATTGCTATTATTTTGTCTTCCGAAGTCTAGATTTTTAAAAATAAAACAAAGCACAGTGTTAACTAGCAATCCCAATTGAGTCTGGATATCCCATGTTTTATCACATCCTGGCATAATGAAATTAACTCTGGCCTTAAAGGTTATGAGCTCTTTCTGTGTATCTCACAGTTTCTTGTGGTTTTATATATATATACACACACACACACACACACACACACACACACACACACACACACACACACACATATATAGTCTTTTTTTTTTTCTTTTTTGAGACAGAGTCTCACTCTGTCACCCAGGCTGGAGTGCAGTGGCACCATCTCGGCTCACTGCAAGCTCCGCCTGCCGGGTTCACACCATTCTCCTGCCTCAGCCTCCTGAGTAGCTGGGATTACAGGCGCCCACCACCACGCCCGGCTAATTTTTTGTAATTTTAGTAGAGACGGGGTTTCACCATGTTAGCCAGGATGGTCTGTATCTCCTGACCTCGTGATCCACCAGCCTCAGCCTCCCAAAGTTCTGGGATGACAGGCATGAGCCACTGCGCCCAGCCTGTTTTTTTTTTTTAGACAGGGTCTCACTCTGTCACCCAGGCTGGAGTGCAATGGTGCGATCTCGGCTCACTGCAACCTCCATCTCCCAGGTTCAAGTGATTTTCGTGCCTCAGCCTCCCAAGTAGCTGGGATTACAAGGGTGTGCCACCATACCCAGCTAATTTTTGTATTTTTAGTAGAGACAGGATTTCACCATGTTGCCCAGGCTGGTCTGGAAACTCCGACCTCAGGTGATCTGCCCACCTCAGCCTCCCAAAATGCTGGGATTACAGGCGTGAGCCACTGCACCTGGCCTCTTGTATATTGTATTAGGGTGAATCTTGCATGAAACCCTTCAAACCAGAGCTGTTTGGGGTCAACATCTGAATATAGCACTCAGAGCTAAGAGTCATGCTTAGTGTCAGCAGGGGTAGGCCCAACAAAGGGATACTTAGTCCTCGCTTTTTGAAGCACCAGAAATTCTACAGCTTGGGTTACATAGATGCTCTAAGGTAAAAATATTAACTTTCTCTTACTGAATTTGGTTTGCTTTTGGTGACAAGAATAAAGACAGGTAATAAGAAGGCAATCTACCTTGGAGTAATTCCATTAGTCACTAGATCTCTGTTTTTAAAGACCATCCTCCATAAGATAAACCATTGCTCCTTGGAGACTTGGCTGATTCCAGGGCTGGGGCTGAGATAGTACAAAATAAGCCTGGACATCTTGTTGCACTGGAAAGTAAATCATTGCTCAAAGAATGATGGGAATATGTAAAAAGAACAAAACCCCCAGCTTAAAAGGGGCTCTAGGCTGGGCGCGGTGGCTCACGCCTGTAATCCCAGCACTTTGGGAGGCCAAGGCGGGTGGATCACTTGAGGTCAGGAGTTCATGACCAGCCTGGCCAATATGGTAAAACCCTGTCTCTACTAAAAATACAAAGAAATGAGCCAGGCATGGTGGCATGTGTCTGTAATCTCAGCTACTTGGGAGGCTGAGGCAGGAGAATTGCTTGAACCTGGGAGACGGAGGTTGCAGTGAGCTGAGATTGCGCCATTGCACTCCAGCCTGGGCAACAGAGCAAAACGCTGTCTCAAAATAAATAAATAAATAAATAAAAACAAAAATAATGGGGGGTGGGAGGGAGGGTGGCTCTACTGCTAAATTTGGGACAATGTGAGCACCAAAATAAATAATGATAATAACATAGCCCTGTGGTCTTGTGACTTAATAAGAAATATTTATTTGGTCTTTTCCCCTGACTGAGTCTTGGCACACAGCTTCTAAAGCCCTTGAATTTCCTGAGCTGTAAGGGCCATAGGTGCATCTTTTGTTCTAATATTTGGTCTCTTTGACCCCAGTTCCTGACACAGAGCTCATAAATCTTTTGGAAGGAATTGCTTTCCCTTTTGCTCCTAAGCAGATAGCTACAGACCGAGGCCAGATGTCTCCACAGGTAGCTACTTTATATTGACTTTATGTAAAGTGCAGATTTACTAAGCATGAGACAAATACATAATTGACTATTCCTTTATGCCCTCCTTTCACATATGAAATGTGGATTTGGTGAACGCTGATCAAAGACTTGAAAGAATGCAACTGCTTGCCCCTTTTATCTACCATCTCCCCCTTTTCTTTCTTCCTCTTTCCCCTACTGCTCACCCTTTCCCCTTAATTATTGACGTTCCCAGACCCTTTTTGTCAAAAGCTCGGATCACAGATTGTTCCTGCAGGTTTCTGTTGCTTTTTCCCAGGTGCATCTTCAACCCTGGCAAAATTAACCTCAAAACTGATTGAGATAAGTCTCAGATACTTTTTGGTTTACAATGGTTATGTAATAAAATGCCCTTGATTTTATAAAATACACACTGAGATATTTCGAGGTGAAGGAAAAGGAGCATTATACCCATGGCTTGTTCTCAAATGGTTCAGAAGACAGAATAAAGCAAATGTTAACATTTGAGAATCCAAGTGGATATGGAAATTCTTTTACTATTTTTGCAACTTTTCTCTAAGTCTGAAATTATTTCAAAATAAAAAGTTGAACATGTTAAGTGGGGATAGTGAGTAGATCTTAGGTTTACTTTATTCCTAAGCATTTGGATTCCAAGAGTGGGTGGTCCTAAGCCCAGAGAAGAGGCCAAAAGGGAAGCTGAGGGTAGACAAGGCAGTGGAATGTTCCTGGGGAAATGCTTTGGGTTGGCAAAGCATTGGTCCTCAGAGCAGCCCATTATGTAAGTGCATACAAGGGAAGGACCAGAGGACAAAGGACACAAATTAAAACCACAGATTCCAAAGCACCACAAGTCCACGCATAGGCAGATGTGTGGGCAGCCAGGAGTAAAAGGGGCAGCAATATTAAAGAGTAAAAGGTGTCGATGAGTACTTGGAAAGTGAATTATGAGGTCCCTCAAAAGGCAGAGAAAGCTTGCACATCCAGCTTCTTCCAGGAGATTCTTAGACACTTCCTTACTGGGGCAGAAACCTACCTGAACACTTTGGCAGCCACAAGCAAGTACAGGCAAGATGAATGCGCTTCCTTGGAGGAACAGAAACCCAAAACACTAGAGGCAGAGCCAGAAGACCTCATCATATTGACCCGTTTTATTTTATAGACCATATGGATACCTTTCTACCATATTTTAATATCAACTCAATACCCGGTCCCCTTTAAAGCTGTCTCTTTATAAACAATGACAGCCACAACAAACAAACAAAAAACCCACCAACATGTGGCAAAATGCACGCCGCATCTCAAATGCACGCCGCATCTCAAGATGACCCGTTTCCAAATACTGTTTTGAAATAAAGGAAGCCATGCTTAAATTATACTCCTTTAGCGCCATCTTGTGTCTGCACAATGAAAAACGCCTCTTTCCAACTCTTCCCCAAATGTCCAAGAAAGGGAAATCCCTCCTCATTCCAACCTAAAATTTTCCTAGGTTTAAAATTTCTTCTTCTGAGCTAAAATTACTCTTAAAAACACATTAAAAGAATTAAATCTCAATTCTCAGCAAACAAAGACATTCTTTTCAAAGTTAAGTGTACATGAACACAAGTGGAGAATAGCAAAAACAGATTAGTCTTGATTCACAAATCCCTTAACTATCTCACGGTATTCTGCAATTCTCCCTTCAAACTAATAGTACTCCATTAAAATAGAACCTTTCATAAATATGTCAGTTTATAATTAAAAACAAATCAGCCATATTGGAAATGTAGTTTTATCTTCTTTCCTTTACTCACATTTGAAGGACCAAACAAGCAATCTTTTAAAAACAGCAATAACAACAAAAACTCAAGAATTAGGAGCTTTTCATAACAATTTCAGTGCACATTTTTCAAATTTGTTTTCCTTTCCCAAACTTAAGCAAAAACTCATTATCTTCTCATCAGCAATAAATACCATGATATAAATTTCCAAAGAACAGCAGAAATCTATTAATGGCATGCAGTGGTGTGCTGGAGCCAACTCATACTGGCTCATAAGACTATCGTGTGTATCTCCTTCCAAACACAGTCTGTGATGTCACACTGGTAGTTTGAAACCAGCCATAGTGGGAGCACTTACCCTGCGGAACTGGCAAATGCTGCAAATCAGGGTCCCTCTTGCCCCAGTCTCCTCCTGGAGAGCCGATTGTTAAACTCTTACCAGCACACATTGCATAAGGGAGGCAAGAGAACACTTGTATCCGAGTCTTTGCACTTTGCTGAGAAATCTCTTACGTGTCACCAAAACCTTTTCTTATTTTTTTATTTTGGAGATGGCGTTCTGCTCTTGCTGCCCAGGCTGGAGTGCAATGGCACGATCTCGGCTTGCTGCAACCTCCACCTCCCGGGTTCAAGCAATTCTCCTGCCTCAGCCTCCCGAGTAGCTGGGATTACAGACGCATGCCATCATGCCTGGCTAATTTTTGTATTTTTAGTGGAGACGGGTTTCATCATGTTGGTCAGGCTGGTCTTGAACTCCTGATCTCAGGTGATCTGCCCATCTCATCCTCCCAAAGTGCTGGGATTACAGGCGTGAGCCACCATGCTTGCCTACATGTCACCGAAATCTTAATGGTCATGAACTAAAGTCTATGAACACAAGAAAGACTTCATTTTAGGGCAGCCTATAATTAAACAATTTAATATCTTAAATCCCAATTATACCTTCCAACATTACATTTACATTTAGCAGCTTCTTCCTCCTCTAGCTTCTTTAAATTTCTCATAAATCAAGAGAAAATAAGTATTAGCCTGTAGTGAGTATGTTCAGAGCTTACTTTATGAAACAGTTTTCCTGGAATGCAAACAAAAAACAAATGCTTAAGGGATCTCCAGACAACTGCCAGGTTTCTCCTGGCTCCATCCTGATTCTTTTATGTCCCAGGTCTAAGGCCAAGGGCTTACTTTGATGATTATGGCAATTTAGTCTGTGGTTGGACGGAGAGGACAAATGTGGAAATTATCAGGGGCTCATAAGAGTGCTTTGATTATGTCAGAAACTTTAAGCACAGCACATATATTAATAGTTATTTCTTTTCTTTCTTTTCTTTTTCTTCTTCTTTTTTTAAAATGGGGATGAGGTTTTGCTCTTTTGCCCAGGCTGGTCTCGAACTCCTGGGCTCATTGGTCTCAAACTACTGGGCTTGAGCGATCTTTTCACCTCAGCCTCCTGAGTAGCTGGGACTACAGGCATATGCCACCATGCCCAGCCTCAAGTAAAAGTTATTTCTGAAACCGGTCATTAAGAATGTGAATTATAGGCCGGGCACGGTGGCTCACGCCTGTAATCCCAGCACTTTGGGAGGCCGAGGAGGGTGGATCATGAGGTCAGGAGATCGAGACCTTCCTGGCTAACAGGTGAAACCCTGTCTCTACTAAAAATGCAAAAAAAAAAAAAAAAAAAAAAAAAAATTAGCTGGGCATGGTGGCGGACGCCTGTAGTCCCAGCTACTCTGGAGGCTGAGGAAGGAGAATGGGGTGAACCCAGGAGGCGGAGCTTGCAGCGAGCCGAGATAGCGGCACTGCACTCCAGCCTGGGTGACAGAGTGAGACTCTGTCTCAAAAAAAAAAAAAAAAAGAGTGTGAATTATAAACTTCACAAAAGATTGGGTAAAATTTCCAAACACAATACAAGACAATAACTATTTGGGATTACTTTTGGAAATACGGGGTAGAAGATAAACTCTGATATGAGTCACATGAGAGAAAAGGACAGCAAGGTGTTCTGTGCATTGTTATAGGGAAAGTATGTGTCTAAGCACAGATTTTTTTGTTTTGTTTGTGACAGGTTCTCATTCCATCACCCATGCTGGAGTGCAGTGGTGTGATCCTGGCTCACTGCAGCCTCGAACTACTCCCAGGCTCAAGGAATCCTCCTACCTCAGCCTCCTGAGCAGCTGGGGTCACAGGCATGCACCACCATGCCTGGCTCCTTTATTTTCTTTTTTATTTTTATTTTTTTGTAAAGACGAAGTCTCACTGCCCAGGCTAGTCTTGAACTCCTGGGCTCAAGTGATCCTCCTGCCACTGCCTCCCAAAGTGCTGGGTTTACAGGCATGAGCCACTGCACCTGGTCTAAGCACTGAATTAACCAGCACAGCCATGGCAAGGATGAGAAAGATCTGAGGTTCTGCCGAAAGCATGGCCTGCATTTATCTCAGGCTGCTCCACTCGGAGGATGAGCTATTCTCAGGCGCTTGTCTCCCCCAGGATCCTGATGGGGACTACACAGGATACAGAAGGACAAGGCCAACCTCACCCTAAACATCTTGCTGTGTTCTGAAAGCCCCATCTCATTGTTTCTCCTATTTTTAAAAAAGTCTTCTTTTCTTTCCTTAGCATAATTCTCAGCTTTCTCCAGGCCTGAGCTCTGAGGCCGCTGTCCTGGGGAAGCTCTTCCTGTTGGCCTGGAATGTGGTACCCAGCAGCTTGGGACTGGATCGTCACTGCTGGCTGGAGTCAGCAGAGGGAGCATGGGTCACACGATGTGGCCACTGTGCTGCTGGCTCTTCAGCACGGAGTCTTCAGAAAGCACAGAGGACAACCGGGCGCAGCGGCTCACGCCTGTAATCCGAGCACTTTGGGAAGCCGAGGCGGGCGGATGACCTGAGGTCAGGAGTTCGAGACCAGCCTGGCCAGCATGGTGAGACCCCCGTCTCTACTGAAAATATGAAAATTAGCCAGGCATGGTGGTGCACACTTGTAATCCCAGCTACTCAGGAGGCTGAGGCAGGAGAATCGCTTGGACCTGGGAGGTGGAGGTTGCAGTGAGCTGAGATTGCGCCATTACACTCCAGCCTGGGCAAAAAGAGCGAAACTCCGTCTCATAAAACAAAACAAAACAAAAAATACAGGGGCCTTTTCACCAGCAAAGTCAAACAAGTCCACATGAACACAGATCAGGAGCTAGATTAAATTAATTCACTCTCTTACAAGAAAACTAAATTAAAATTTTATTTTTTTAATTAAATAATTAAAAATTAAATTCACTCTCTTACAAGAAAATCCAATGGATTTCTTTCCTCTGATTATAAAACAAATGTTTACCTTATTTCTCATCTTAAACTTTTCTGTTTCCCATTTCCTATAACAATGTTCTAAAATCTCACCGTCTAGAGATAGCCACTATGAACTTAATAAAGCTTATACTAGATTTTTCACATAATTACAAAAATAAGAGTCTTCTCATCTTTTAAAATTTTGTTTTATGGGGCTACACAATTCCATAATGTGGATCCACCTTAACAGACTTACTTGACATCCTATTTGGAGTGTTTAAAATTTTTGTCATTTTATAGCAAAAGATTTTTCTGTAGTTTGTATTATTTTCTCAAGACCAGTTGCTAGAAGTGAATTATTGTGTCTGAGGGTATAAGATCTATCTGGCTAAAAACCCTTCCAAATTTACATTCCCATCAGCTGTGGATGAAACTGTCTTCCATAGCATCCTGGCTAGCACTGTAATTCTAATTGTGTTATTTGTCCAAAAAATGGAATATGGTTATTGTGTTTTGCATTCTTTTGCTTACTAAAAAGATTGGCTGTATTGTATGGTTTTCTTCATGCATTAATTGTATATGTATTTAAAACACAATTTTATCCATCTGTCCACTCATTCAGCAAATGTTTATTGAACACCTACTGTGTATAAGACACTGTGCTAAAACCACACACATTATCCTGAACCAAAATCTTAATGGCCTCTGCCGCAGGACACCATCCCTTCCTGGCTCTGCCATTCCAGTTAGTGCCTCCTGTCGGCTGATTTGAGAACCGGTGTGAGTGTCATTGCCATCTTCCATCAATTGACACATTCTAGGAAATTCACCTTGAAAATGTCTCTAAGTGTCATCCCCTTTTTTTATTTCCACAACCACTAACTCTTATCCAGGCATCCAAGAGCTCTTGCAAGGAATATAGGATCTGAAGTGATCTTCCTCCTCCGTATTCAACCTACAAACTGATGCTGGAGCAGTCTACCTTTCCTCTGATCAGAAACCTTCCCTTTTCTCCACCTTCTCAATTCTCTAGCTTGAGCTCCAGGGTCTTTGCGCTTCTGGGCCCATCTTACCTGTCCTTCGCTTTCCATCCTTCACTTTCCTAGTCATACTATCCTTCACTTTCCGTCCTTCACTTTCCTAGTCATACCATAGCCCTGCCAACCAGAGCTAGTTGCTGTTCTCTAAACAGGTGCTACATTTTCTGGCAGCTGTGCCCCTGGCCATGGCATCTCGCCACACCCATCTTCAAAGCCCAGCTCAAATGCCTCCTTCTCTAAGAAAGTATCCCTATTACTGTGGGCCAGATCCTCCTGACTTCAGAGCCCAGGTGGCATCCACTGCGCCCTCTCTGGAACACCCAGAGCATGGTCCACTCCTTCCAGTGGCCGTCACCTCTTTGTCCTCCCCCTCTCCCTACCATCTTTGAGATCAGACAGTACGAGCTCACTTTTGCATCCTGTTGCCTAGAACAGTCCTAGCACACAGTAGTCCCTCCCTAAGTGTTCACTGAATTGAAGAATGAATGAGGACATACATATTATAGATAAATAAAGGTGCTAGCAACCATGTGGAGGAGTCAATGTGTAAGAAGGAAGTCAACCGCACAGAGAAACAGTGATGAGATGGAAAGGGAGACTCCTAAAAACATTCAAGGTGGGTTCTCTGGGGTTTCCTCCCTCCAACCATGAGGAGATGAGCTGCCTATGGCTTTAGGATGCATCTGCTTCCACCTTCTTTCATGTGCCTCTTCTTTGAGACTCTCATCTTCACTTGACACACATTTAACCTACAGGCTAGGCTCTAAAGCAAAAATTCTAGAAATGGCCTCCGTGTTCCTAGCCTTTCTCTAAAATTCCTTCCTGCCCTAAAACTATGAAGAAAGAAATCTTTAGCAGGGAGTGTTACTTTCTTTCACAAGCCTCTAGGCAATGTGAAAATTTCTTGAGCCTGGCCTCCACCCACTGGTGGCTTGACTCACTCTTACTGCAAACAATGCACACATAAAGAAGACTGCTCACAGCAGCTCTCCTTCTGCAAAACAAAACGCCTCAGTGTGTGGGGCTGCCTATCAGGATGGTCAGAGCAGAATGACTTTCACAAGTAGAATACTCCACTCCCTGAGATTGGTGGCAGGCATTTCAAACACTTCCAGAGCAGGAGACACTCTGAGGCCACTTGCCACCTGAAATAAAGTCCATAAATGATCAGAACGACTGTGTCCAGACATCTGGTAATGGCTATAGCAATTGCTTGTGGAGATTTATACCTGGGCTATGAGAGAAACATATTTAAAGAAATCAAAAAAGATATATATATATCTTTTATATATATATAAATATATATATCTTTTATATATAAAAGATATATATATTTATATATATCTTTTATATATAAAAGATATATATATTTATATATATCTTTTATATATATAATATATATTTTATATATAAAAATATATATATCTTTTATATATATAAATATATGTATCTTTTATATATAAATATATATATCTTTTATATATAAATATATATCTTTTATATGTATATCTTTTATATATATAAATAATATATATCTTTTATATATAAATAATATATATCTTTTATATATAAATAATATATATCATTTATATATATAAATAATATATATCTTTTATATATATATCTTTTATATATATAAATAATATATATCTTTTATATATATCTTTTATATATAAATAATATATATCATATATATAAATATATATCTTTTATATATATAAATAATATATATCATATATATAAATATATATCTTTTATATATATAAATAATATATATCTTTTATATATATAAATATATATCTTTATATATAAATAATATATATCTTTTATATATATAAATATATATATCTTTTATATATATAAATATATATATCTTTTATATATATAAATATATATATCTTTTATATATATATCTCACTTCCATTTGAAACAGGGTATCGCTATGTTGCACAAGGTTGGTCACTATATTTTTAATGGAAGATTGGGAATAACAGCCATTTCTGTGGCTTGTTTCAGTAAATGCTAGCACTTAAGCAGTGCTTTTTTTTCCTTAGGGGGCTTATGCTTATCATTACCCGTCATTCATACTTGGAAGACAAATAAAGAATTACAGACATAGCTGACTGCTAATAGTTCTGTGAGGCTAGTGCCCAAGTAAGCAAGTCAGGTTTTCCAAATAATACATAGAGGGAAAACAAAGGGAGTTGCTCAGTCAGTCTAACCATGTTTTTCTATAAAGTGTACTTTGAGTGCTTCCATTAATAAAAGAATGGAAGGCAAACAGATTTATTGTTTACCTCCTGTGTACCAGGGCCTCTGCGAGCTGTCTTTTAATGCTTTCTCATTTGATTTGTAAAACTTCTTTTATAGCTGAGGAAACCAAGGCTCAGAGAATGTAGATAAATGGACTGAAGCCATTTAGTTAGAAATGCCAGGAGCTGGGTAAATAGAGCCAGGAGCTCTATGTAAATAGAAGGTCTGTGTCCTTTCTGCTTTAGGGTGCTTCATCTAGTAGTCATACACATGATAGTGAACTAGTCATGATGCTCTCCACTGTAGGTACTATAATAGCTGAAGTGGTAGATTAAATTACTGGTGCCAATTCTTTACTCCCCGGTAATAGCAACCCTGCTGGCACCTTGATCTTGGACTTCCAGCCTCCAGAATCATGAAGAAATTAAAGTCTATTGCTTAACATAATAGCTGAAATGGTAGATTAAATTACTGGTGCCAATTCTTCACTCCCCTGTTATGGGATTATACAGCCACACCTTTTGTCACTTAACTTTGCAATACCTTCCCCACTGCAGGTGGAGTATACTTTTCCAACCCATTAAAATGGTTGTTTGGCCATTGACTTGCTTTGTCATAAGAACAAGCCCAGGGTGGGTAGCTCTTGGTCCCAGGAATTTGGGAGGCAAGTGGCACCACCTGAAGCCTAAACCATAGCCTAGAGCCCTGCCCAGGTGACTGTGGCCTGATGCAGAGGTGCTCAGCTCGGCTCAGTAGAGACCTCCCAACCTGCAGACCCACATACTAGAGAATGTTTTTGTTGTTGTAAGACACTGAGATTTTGAGTTTGGTTGTTACATAACATTATTGTGTTAATATTGCCAATGGAGATGATTAAAAAGTGACTTAAACAATTTTATAAATGACAAGAAGGATGGAGGATGGTAGCTCCAGGGTTGGTTTGGTGGATCCTTATTGTTATCAAAGACCAATGTTCTTCATTCTGCCACTTGGCCGTCCTCTGTGTCTCAGCAAAGTTCCCCCTCATGGAACCCTGTTGGTTGCAATAGCTCCATACATTGTATCTTCAAATGACAACATTTCAAGGAGAAAGTAAAGGGGCAGGTGCTATGGACTGAATTGTCTCTCCCTCCCCACAATTCATATATTGAAGCCTTAACCCTCAATGTGAATGTGTTTGAAGAAAGGGCCTTTAAAAAGGTGGTTAAGATTAAGTGAGGTCACTGAGATGGGGCCCTATCTAATAGCACTAGTGTTCTTATAAAAAGAGGAAGACACTAGAGCTGGCTCTGTGTGTGCATGGAGGAAACGCCATGTGAGGATACAGCAAGGAGGTGCTGTCTGCAGTCCAAAGAGAGAGGCCTCACCAGAAGGCAAACCTGCTGGCACCCTGATCTTGGTCTTCCAGCCTCCAGAATTGTGAAGACATAAAGGTGTGTTGTTTAAACCACCTAGCCTGTGATCTTTTCTCATGGCAGCCTGAGCAGACTAAGACAGAAGGGTAAAGGAGCTTCTTTTGTATTGCTCTTTCTTTCTTTTATCATGGAAGAAATCCTTCCCAGAAGTCCCCAGCAGACACTTACCCTTGGCTTGTTGCCCAGAACTGGGCCACATGACCACTCTAGACCAATAGCTGGCAAAGAAGAATGGGATTGCCAGCATTGGCATAGACCAATCATGGTGAACTACCTTGGACTGGGAACAATGCCACCCAAACAAATTTCGGGAGTATGTCCTTCAGAATAAGCCATAATAAACCGTAGTCATAAATTTCAGTGGCTCACAAGAACAAAGGCTTGTCTCACACTCACAGGGCATGTCTGCTGTGGGTTGGCTGCAGCTCTGCCCTACAGTTTCTTTGCTCTGACATCCGGAATAATAGAACATCTCTAACTGGAACGTGGCTGATATTGTAGTTGAGGGAAAAGGGAACAGGATCAGCTACGAGCTGGCTCTATAGCTTCTACCCAGAAGTAACATGCCTCATCTCCATTTACGTTTTATTAGCTGGGTAAATCTCTTGTCCAGTCCCGATAGCAATGGGGCAGGGAAGGACAATACTCCTCCAGGGAGGGAAACTGAGCTTTGTGAACATCAATACAATCAGTTTGCCTTTCTGATGACAAATATTCTCTTCTCTTCCTATATACAGAGTACTTTCATTTCCTTTGGAAAAGAGACAACCCAATGATTCCATTCAGTTACTGTCCAGCTCAAAGTCCAAGAGTCTCTGAGTGGTGCCTAGTAGGATCTTGCAAGAGGTGCAGACATGGCTCCTCTTTCTTTGGAGGCTGTCCCTTACCAGCCACTCCTCAAACCCAATATGCAATGGTGAATACCTGCTGGATAGGAATAGGATATCTGCAACAAAGCCCCATCTGAAAGAGAAACAACTGGATATACAGAACACCTATTGACCCATAGGGATTCTGAAGTCCCACTAAGCAGATACATGGAGAGCCCCTGCCCTGGGGACAGAAGGTCTTCTTTGATGAGGTCCTAGTCTCACTTCTTGGGAGCAGCTTCCCCAGTCAATTGTTCATCTTGATCATTGACTCCATTCTCTGGGAGGTCCTTCTTTCCCCAGTTATCCTCCTTGGACAAATCAGAAAGAGAATTGGAGAATATTCCTTTTCGTGGGAACTGAAGCACAATCTCTCAAGGCCTTCTTCCTACTCAAAGAGGGTTGGAGCCCAAAGGTTTTTTTTTTTTTTTTTTAACGGAGTCTCACATTGTCGCCCAGGCCAGAGTGCAGTGGCACGATCTCGGCTGACTGCAAGCTTTGCCTCCCCGGTTCACGCCATTCTCCTGCCTCAGCCTCCAGAGTAGCTGGGACTACAGGTGCCCGCCACCACGCCCAGCTAATTTTGTATTTTTAGTAGAGACGGGGTTTCACCATGTTGGCCAGGCTGGTCTCAAACACCTGACCCCGTGATCCGCCTGCCTCGGCCTCCCAAAGTGCTGGGATTACAGGCATAAGCCACCGTGCCCAGCCACAAAGATTGTTTTAAATCTCAAATGACACAGTCTGCTTTCATCCAAACTGGTGGGCCATTTGTCATTATCACTCTCATAAAATTAAATCATATTTGTACTAATTTGTTTTCAGTCAGTTCCATAGGCCTTTAACCACAACTACATTTTTTGAGATGCACCACTCTTTCTAGACTTAGGCAATTGTATTTTGAGTCTATCCTTGGTACAACTATATCTTTAGCTCCTTTTCTTGGACCATTTTACCTGAAAGAAAATATTTGCTACAGGTCATCTTAATGAATTCAGATGTTTCAAGAAAAAGCATTATAGCCATGCCATTGATGTGGCTCTTAGCACAAGGGTGACTTGTAATTGGCTGTTGTCATTTAAAGGCCTACTCAGTGTAATCTTTTATCTTTTGCATCTTTTAATCATGCAGGTCTCTGAACTTCTAGACATTCTCTATTCCCTTTCAACAGGGCTGATTTTTCTTTCTTTATAGTTTTTTTTCTTATACCTTGCTACCTATATTCAAGAGCAACCAAATCTTGCTATGAACATTATATTTTCCCAGTTTTTTACTTGAAGCTATAGACACTTTAGTGACATTATCTGCTTTCCAAGTTATTGTAGGTGACTATTTCACCTAATCTTTCATCACTGCATAACATGGGCTGCCATCTTTCCAGCCTAGGATAAGGTTTCTTCTTTGCTCACTTCCCAGAACCAAAGCCAATGTCATATATGCTGGTGCCAATTATGGGGAATAGGCAAGGTTATACTAAGGTAATAACAAATTTCCAAATCTCAATGACTAACAAAAACAAGTTTTGATTTTCACCCATTTTTATACACTTGTGGTGGGTCAGCTGACTTGCCCCATGTTGACCTCATTCTGAGACCTAGGCTGCTGGAACTTCTCTATTTGGAATGCCGCTAATCTCATGGCTAAGGGAAAAGAACACGGTGGATGACTTGCAGGCTTTTAATGGTTTTGCTCAGAAGTGGCATCCATCACTTCCAATCCCATTTCATTGGCTGGAACAGGTCTATGGCCAAGCTGAAGTCAATGAGTGGGGAAGTATAATCCTTTCCCAAGAAGAGACAATGAATATTTGGAAACAATAATGCGGGCTAATGGAGGGTGTTTCTGTCACCAAAGAAGAGGATACAGCTATTGTGTAGGGCAAGCAGAGTCTGCCCCTGACAGGAAGATCTTGCTTAGAGGTCTGGGCCAACGATTTCAGCTTAGATCTGAATCATTATAAGAGCTACTATACAACCCCCGACAAAATGTGAAGCTGGCTATAGTGGCATTGGATGTCCCATGTGGTACCATACCTGTGGCCAAGACTCAGGCTGCTGAGGTTTATGCTTTGCTGTCCCAGAGGCCCCATCACTCAGCAGGCAGGGTTTTGGAGAACGCTTGCTCATGCACAGCCTGTGGACTCGGCCACCTCACCCTTCCCCACCCACCCTGGGACCCTTGGCCTCTGAGGGTGGCCTTGAAGGCCAGATGTAGTTGTGATTGAAGGCAGATGCTCAGATGCAGTGAATTTTTCTTATGAATAATAATGAAATTGCCAAGGCAACATCAGGGAAGCATTGAGAGAGGGTGGGGGTGGGTACCAATCAAGGAAAATTTGTTAGTCACCTTTTCATAGCCAGGCAGCTGCACCTTAACACACTGCTCACACTCTTTTTCTTACAGGTAGATCAGAAGGCTGGGTTCCAAATTTTGCCCACAATGTTGCAATTGTCTTTTTTGCCTTATTCACCAACTTTCATCTCTTTAGAGTGAATCTAATCTTATACACATATTTTATGGTTTTTTTCCCAAAGCACTTGAACGTCTGTGTAGAGTGACACTGAACTTTGCATAATGTTGATTGGACAGGCAGATTAATACTGATGGCAGTAAATTTTCCCATGCTCTACCCTGCCCACTTTTACTTCTCCCTTGTTTGTTTGGCTTCTATTTCGTTACAAGTGGATAATGAACTTGGTTAGCCATCTGTGTGTGTTTCCTGCCAAGTGCTTTTTCAGAAGTTCCGACTTTAGCGGCTGTGGTTTGGAATCTTCGCGTGGAAAGCCGGCAGCTGCTTGGGCAGCTAGACTCTTGTGCTTGTTTAGTGGGTCTGTAATTGCAGAAGGAGCAAGAGGGGAGTCGTGGAGAGCTGAAGTTGTTATGTCACAGGCAGCAGTCACAGCTTGGATGACATTTGGGGTTTCTGATGCTTTTCATCCCAGTTTGATTCTCACCTCCTGGGCAATGAAACACGCCAAGGCTTAGGCACTAACTCATTCATCTCTTCCCCTCTACAGGGAGAAAGAATGCTCACAATTTACAGACTAAGAAAGCACAGATACTGAAAGGTTAGATCTTGCACACGACTGGGCTCTTCTGGAAAAGGACTTCTGTCTCTTTCCTTGAGCAGATGGTTCAGGAGTCATTTCTCAAACTCACTTTTCTGTCTTCTTCAAAACAAGGAATCATGATAAAATACACACACACACAAACACACACACACCTCCCCAAAAAACCATTCCAAACAAACCTGATCCGGGTCTGAATCCATCCTGAGCTCTTGTTCTCAAGTTTCAAGAGGGCAATGGCAGATCTGGATTTAAAACTCAAGCTTTTGCTTTTATCAAACAGAGCATCTCTTCTCTAAAGAGGTCCCAGGGGATGAAAGATATGGAGTTCCTCTTTTTCTCCACATGGAAAGGGGGAAAGTAAATTCCTTCTACGTGACCATGGGTAGTGATACTTTCTGAAGAGCTGTAAACCAAATCCAGTGACTTCCTCAGCAGTCAGGTGTGCTGTGGCAGCCCTGTGCTCCTGCAGTGGTACCTGGTGTGTGAGTCAGGAACATTGTTCTCTCTATGGAGCGGAATGGGAATCCTCTAATCTATGCTTCCGGCTTCTTGAATCGGAGGCAGAACATGCCTGTGGCCTATTTTAAGTTTATCCTGATATTGCTACAGCAAAATAAAATACTTTGCAGATAGCTAATTGATTCTTAAGGACGTAGAATCTCTGATTTATCTTCTCTCCTAGCCACTATTTGACCCACGTCCCTTCCAATATTTTTTCTGTCCTAAGAATGTGTCAAGAAAAAGGTACATGATTTGTTTGCTAAATGTTTACACAGTGCTTTCAACCCCCGTCATGCCTGGGAATTCTTGGGTATAGAAAGGTCTAGAAAAGTGCTGTAAGTGCTATTCTGGGCTCAGGAAAATAACCAACATTTTTTAAGCACTTACTGTGAGCCAAGAACCATTTCGTATGCTTTCTTATTTAATCCTCACGACAATCCAATATACACTCAGAGTAACTATACTAAGAAGAAAACATGTTTATTAACTTCCCAGATTAACTTGTATTAATAGTAGAGGAACTACAGACATAAGGGGAAGAACATTGGTATGACAATGACATCAGCTAGGTGTTGGTTCTGTTACTATCTCCACCTTCTTCCAGTTTTCAGGAGTGTCTGGGCAAGAACATGGTGCCATGTTTCTTTTATAAATAGTCAACCGGAAGTACTTGTTGAATAAAAATATTGACTGAGTGAGAAAGGGAGGCTCTCTACCCTCATGGAGCTTATGTATGTAAAGGAAAACAGACCCAACTATTATACTTAATGAATAACCATTGACTGCCGTGAGTGCTGAGTCCATACTGCAGGGCACCCAACCTGCTTTTGTGGCACAGGGTCACCTCTCTGAGACTTGAAGGGCAAGGAGGAGTTAGCTAATTTGAAATAGGAAGGTTATCTGAAAGCATTCCAAGCAGAGGGAAAGGTATGGGAGGAGGCCATCTGGTAGGAAGGGGCTTGTGTTCCAGGGACTGGAAAAAGCCCCAAGTGGTTGAGGTGTGGTTGGTGAAATGAAGAGTGATGGGTGAGGAGGCTGATGAGGTGGATCACCACCAAAAAGAGCTCCGGAAAACACTGTGTATATGCAATCGAGGCATGAATCACAAAGTAGCCTAGTTAGGATTCCTGCCCCATCCTGGCATCGCACTTTCTGGCAGAAGTAATATGCTCTGTGGAAGCAAAAGCATACTCCTGCATGAGGCACCCATTTTTTTGCTCCATGGGGAGGCCATGTTTGAGTTCACTGGCTTAGGTATAGATAGAAAGGGTCTCTCTGTCCCTCTATTCCTTTTAGTCTCCCTCCCTCAGAGTATTAATGTGCATATGTGTATCTACACTTTTAATCTATTTATTTCCAAGTTAGATCACCAAGTTGTTCCAGGACCATTTAGATTGATTATAACCACAAACAGACTTAGAAACATTTCCATGGGAAATAAACACATTGAACAAAATCTCCCAGGAATTCTAAGGGAGAATGCTCATCACACTTTTTTGATTATCTGTCCACAAGGCAACACCAGCTTCTTGGCTACCTCTCTGCCTTTTTAGCGAGTTTCACTCAAAAATACCACATGAGGAACAACAGATAGACATTAAAAGACGTCGATATAGGTGCATCTAAATAATAATATAACTGTTATTGGAAATATTGTAGCAAAGCCTGAGGGACTGTTTCTCGGCAGACGTTGGAGAAATAATTATAATATCAGATAGAGCCTGGTTCTTTCCACAAAGGTTTCATTCAGAATCTTGACTCAAAGGTAGGATTGGAGAAAGTGGGGGTGGAATAGTGATGATAATGGTATTCACAATTTCATTTTCATTTAGTTTCTTCCTCTTCTTTTGTTAATTTAGCTGTCATGTTTAATAAGCACCACAAACCCCAATTTATATATACTTGATTAAGAATTAAGATTCACAACACCTAATCATGCAGAACACCTTGAGTGTTAATGTCTGCTACTGCCATGTTTAATATAAAGTAGTATGTGGATTATATAAAGCAATTGTTATTTAAGACTCATTGACACTCCAAGTCTATTCCTTAATTGTTAACAGAATTATACAATGCTCTGTGCACTTAGCAAATACTTCTAAAGCAGGCTTGCAATATCAAACTCACATCAACTCAAAAGTGTAGAATGTTTTCATTTTGCTTTCCACAATCTTTCATTCTTCTCCACTAGATCCTTCAGTTATCCAGTAGCTATTCAACCTCATTGTGCAGGGTGCATCACACTGAGAGAAGACAAATTGCTTAGGAAGGTGGCTGTGTTGGAAGAGAATGCAACTCTGTGTTCTCTTGTATTGCTCCTTGACTAAGATGCAGTACATGTTGGTAAAATCTTTTTTTTGTTTTTTTTTTTTTTTTTTTTAGACAGAGTCTCGCTCTGTTGCCAGGCTGGAGTGCAGTGGCGCGATCTCAGCTCACTGCAACGTCCACCTCCAGGGTTCAAGCGATTCTTCTGCCTCAGCCACCTGAGTAGCTGGGACTGCAGGCTCCCGCCACCACACCCAGCTAATTTTTGTATTTTTAGTAGAGACGAGGTTTCACCATGTTGGCCAGGATGGTCTCGATCTCTTGACCTCGTGATCTGCCTGCCTCAGCCTCCCAAAGTGCTGGGATTACAGGCGTGAGCCACAGCGCACGGCCGGTAAAATCTTTTTTTAAGGTATCTAAAAGTTTGTCTCAAGAAGAACCAAACATTATCATTCCCAATATTATTCTATTGCACTTTGTTGCTCCCCAGAAACCACTGCTAAGTAAACTATGGTAGTTTAAGTTTCAGCACGCCAATAACAGACTTGGACCTCCATCATTGTGGTTATGATATGATTTCTGCCTTTTCTAGCAAATCTATCTCCCTCTGTAACAGAACATGTGGAATATAGGAAAGGACTATGGTGAAAACAACAATTTATTGCCACTCCTATTGCTGTTGCTTCAATGCAGGTACCACTATCACTACCACCACCATCTGCACTGCTATCACCACCAGCAACACAGTCACCACCTCCATCATCACCCTATAACACCATCACTACCACCACCATCCGAACTGCCACCACCACCAACACAGTCACCACCATCACCCTATAACACCGTCACTACCACCGCCATCTGAACTGCCACCACCACCAACATAGTCACCACCTCCATCATGACCCTATAACACCATCACTACCACCGCCATCTGAACTGCCACCACCACCACCAACACAGTCACCACCATCACCCTATAACACCATCACTACCACTGCCATCTGAACTGCCACTACCACCACCAATACAGTCACCACCATCACCCTATAACACCGTCACTACCACCACCATCTGAACTGCCACCACCACCACCAATACAGTCACCACCATCACCCTATAACACTGTCACTACCACCGCCATCTGAATTGCCACCACCACCACCAATAATCACCACCACCATCATCACTCTATAACACAGTCACTACCACCACCATCCGAACTGCCACCACCAACAGTCACCACCTCCATCATCACCCTATAACACTGTCACTACCACCACCATCTGAACTGCCACCACCACCACCAACACAATCACCACCTCCATCATCACCCTATGACACCATCACTACCACCACCATCTGAACTGCCACCACCACCACCAACACAATCACCACCTCCATCATCACCCTATAACACCATCACTACCACCATCTGAACTGCCACCACCACCACCACCAACACACAATCACCACCTCCATCATCACCCTATGACACCGTCACTACCACCACCATCTGAACTGTCACCACCAACACAGTCACCACCTCCATCATCACCGTATAACACCATCACTACCACCACCATCTGAACTGCCACCACCACCACCACTAACACAGTCACCACCTCCATCATCACCCTATGACACCATCACTACCACCACCATCTGAACTGCCACCACCACCACCAACACAGTCACCACCTCCATCATCACCCTATAACACCGTCACTACCACCACCATCTGAACTGCCACCACCAACACAGTCACCACCTCCACCATCACCCTATAACACCATCACTACCACCACCATCACATCACCTTCACTTGGCAAGTGTCTTGAATGTGCAAGACACTGACATGTCTCTTCATCTCTTTCATATATGCAAAATTCTTATCTCTACCACACCTGTATTTTCTGTCATGGCCTATATTTGTAAATTGTACCATCATTTCCCAGTCAGACAAGCCCAAACCTTGGGAATCATCCTGGATTCCTTCTTCTCCTTTACTTCAAATCCAGTCACCAGGTCTTATCACTTCTACCTCCTCCTCTTAATTCCCACAGCCATTATCTTAGCTCAGGTTCCATGACTTCTCCCCCAGATGAGGGAGGCTACTTGTATTAGGCAGTATGCAGTGAGAAAAAAACAAATAATGTGCGTGTGTGCGTGTGTGTGCGTGTATGTGTGTGTAGACTTTGGTTCAAATTCCAGCTCTGACACTTTGCTATCTCTTAATTTCCCTGAGCCCAGGTGCTCCCTCTCTAAATGGGACACAGTGACACCCAAAACTCTCAGTGGATGTTAGGATGAAATGAGGTCATGCTGTACAAGGTAGGTGCTCAATAAATGGAAGACATCTTTTTAATTTTCTTTTTAATTTTGATAGCTTTGGGGTACAAGTGATTTTTGGTTACATGGATGAATTGTGTAGTGGTGAAAAGGGAACACTTAGACACTGCTGGTGGGAGTGTAAATTAATACAATCTCTATGGAAAACAGTATGGAGATTTCTTAAAGAATTTCCCAAAGTAGTCTGGGCCCGGTGGCTCATGCCTGTAATCCTAGCACTTTGGGAGGCTGAGGTGGGCAGATCACCTGAGGTCGGGAGTTCGAGACCAGCCTGACCAACGTGAAGAAACCCTGTCTCTACTAAAAATGCAAAATTAGCCATGCCTGGTGGCGCATGCTCATAATCCCAGCTACTCAGGAGGCTGAGGCAGGAGAATCGCTTGAACCCAGGAGGTGGAAGTTGTGGTGAGCCGAGAGCACACCATTGCACTCCAGCCTGGGCAACAAGAGTGAAACTCCGTCTCAAGAAAAAAAAAAAAAAAAAAGAATTTAACAAAGTAGATTTACCGTTCGATCCAGCAATTCCACTGCTGGGTATCTACCCTGCAAAGAAAGACATCTTTTCTATCACTGCAATATTAGGTCATTGAAATAGCCTTGTAATTGGTCTTCCTGTCTCCACTCAGGCTTACCCACCCTCAAATCCATTTACCAGACTATTGTGAGAAAATGCTGCAGTGAAGCCTATACTATATTTTCAGACTAAGAATCTAGCTCCCCCAACCTTCTCCAGTCTTGCCTCTCACCACTGGCTCTGGGGCTTTTTGTTCCAGCTATGCAGAACAATTTGTAGTTCCTCAAATGCCCCACAAATAAAGACACTCATGTTCTGCTGTGGAGAGAGGCAAACCTGTCAAGATAGAGATGGACTACATTCTTTGTAGCTATACATGTGATAAAGAGCTGGCTGATGGAAGATCGACAATGAAATAAATATTGATGAAGCACGTTCCATGGGTTGGCCAGAGCTACAGAGTGTAGCTATTTAACGGAATCCCTCTCCAAGCAGAGCTTTACAACTGATCCTTCCTGTGTAGCCAAACGGAGGGAGAAGCGGGCTGCTTTCCCAGGGAGGCTGGGAGAGCCGAGGAAAAAGGGTGATGTGGGGAAAGAGAGGTAGACATTTTGCTAATGTTTCCTGATTCCTTCAGAGATAAAGGAGTACAGGAAAACCCTGGACACTACAAGTCGTGGAAAGGACACTGAGGGGAGAAAAGGAAATATTTACAGAACACATGGAGTGTCAAAGAGCAAAATGTTAGAAAGAAGAAAAGGTGCTTGAAAGCCTGCTTTGATAAACATAAGCACAGTTTGGGCTAGAAACTATTTTCTTGCTTAGGTAAGAAACACATGAAACAAAGAAGAAATGGAAGCAAAATCTCTCACCTATTTCAGGATGGAATTAAAATAGAAAATGTCCCATTGCACAGTAGAAAAGCACTCACTGATTACAACAGTAATAGCTAATACTTCATGAGACTTTATGATGTGCCAGGCACATTTCCAAGTGCTAAGTGAACATTAACTCATTCATCCCCACCATCTCCCTATGACAGAGACTATTATTCCCATTTTACAGATGAGAAAACTGAGGCACAGAAAGGTGGAACAACCTGCTGAAGTTCCCCCAGCAAGTAAGTGGCAGAACTATGATTAGACCCCAAGTAGGTTGACTCCTGGGATGCCCGAGTCAATGATGACAATCTGTTGCCCTTCATGATACCAATACCCATGCTCTCATGAATTAAATCATGTCATATAAATAAAATGTCTAAGAAAGTTATCAGGAACTCTAAAAAGTTTATATAGTCTCCAAATTACGAGCATTGAACTTACAAACAAGCCTAACTGAAGTGGGGAATAACATGGCTCCAGTCACATCACTTCTCTTGACTTCGAATCCATCCCTCTTCCCACCTTTGCATGTGCTGGTTCCCTTTCATGCTTGTTCTTTCCTCATCATTTAGCCAGAACCTCATGGTTCATTGTTATAATCATGCTTTTGGATATACCTCCAGCTCCCTGAGCCCCTCTCCCTCCTTCCTACTCACCTGGCAAAGGCCCAAATCTGTTTAAATCCAGCTCACCACCCACAGTTATACTGACTGGCTCCATTTTAAGTTAATGACCATGAACTTCATGGAGGCCCCTGGTGCTCTTCAGCAATCTCACTAGATAGTTTCCTAGGCCTAGATCATTTTCTCTCTTCTTCTCTGGGAGTAATTTCATATCTAATAAATAGTAAAATTTAATAGAAAATGACAGCAACCAAAAATAGGCAGAACCACTGAGGATTCAGACTTCTCAGGAATAAAGGTTGAGTCAACTGATCAGATAAACCCCCCTGCCAGCGGAGGGTGGATGTAAAGTGCAATGTGTAGTGACAAAAGGAAGTAGTAAGTACTAACTATGGTTTATGACCAGTTACAAAAATGAGAACTAGCAGGTAAGCAATTTCCTTCCTTGTTATGTGTATGTGTGCACATGTCTACCCATGTACTAGACAGAGATAGGCAGACTGAACCATTGATCTCTCCTGCCATTTTAAGCCATCACCTGCCATCTCTGCCCCCTTTAGATAAAAGTCTACTTCACCAATTGCCATCAGTGCCTTCAAAGCCCCTATCAAGCCTCCCTCATGCCTCATAAAAGCGCCCCCTGCCGAATCCTATAATGCCATATACTTCAGAAACTGTAGAGATAGAGAGGGGTTTGGAAATCAGAGGCCTTCATTCCTGGGGCTCAGGGTCAGCTCCTAGTTCCACTAATGGTTAGACAGTGTCCAACCTAATAATGGCCCATCAATCACATGCTGTTTCCATGGACACCACTAACTAAAAGATTTACAGAAAACAATCAGGCACCAACAGGGAATTGCCTGTAGCACCCAAGACAGCCTCTCTGATAACAAAGTGTCACTCTACTGAAGCAGACCCTGGCTGGGGAAATTGCCATGAGCATATAGTGCTCTTGCTATCTGAAGCTGAACTTAAGATAATTCATTGCATGAAGCTAGAGGATTTAAAAAGCAAATCAATTTCCTACTAGTTCCGGTTGGATTCTGCTGCTGAATTTCATTTAGTTGGTCTCCCTCCAGAAACAGAGGCAGAAAAGGAACCAGCACAGACTCCTTCATCTGTCTTCATGAAAATAGGCTTCTAAATTTTTCTCTAAATTGAAGTTACTGGTGGAAAGAGAATCAAATTCTGGGCAGCGGCTGAGTCCCCAGAGGTGAAGGCTAATTCACTCTGCCAGGAAGGTAGGCACAGGAGACCACAGTCTGCACCAGTCCTGGAAGTTTGACCTGACACCTGAGTGCACAGCGACTGTGGGCCATGTGCTCCAGGGCCTCTGCTTCCTGGCCGTCTGGGCGGTCTGCTGCTTGGACAGCGCTGGCTGCAGAGCAAGCACTGTTCTTGGCCAATGTGTTTGCATCTGGCAAAAACATCCTGCAGCTGCAGACTCCCTCTCCAAGAGTGTTCCAGTTTTTCTTGCCCATCCTACTTGGATCATCTTGTCACCACGTGCACAGGGGAAATGGCAAGACATAGGGTAACTTGTCTTTGTTTCTGTCCACAGCATATTTAGGAGGCTGGCATTTCCTTTCTTTCTTGGCTAGACTGGTTGTCCCTTTGGAGCTGGGCAGAGAATGCCCCGGCAGGGCCCGGGGCTGGAGCTGCACAAACAGACTTTCCACCCTGGTCTCAGAGAAGTGAGAATCTTGCAATTTCCTCCAAGGGTTCCCCTCCTCGGGTCGTGGTCCCACAAATAAGCTGATAAGGCAGGGGTGAGTGTTTGTTGCATGTCCAGTTGGACTTGAAGCAATTTTAGGAGAAAACCTATAGGAAGAAAAGGCCTTGGTCTTTGTCCATGAAAGGACTGATAGTAAACAGAGAGCAGGGCTGGAAAACAAAAGCCTCAAGGTAGGGTGATGGTGCCTCAGAGCCACTGGGAGATACGGTGAGGACTAGGTTACTGTGAGGCTATCATTGATGATATTTTGTAGTACTTTTCTGTTTGCAGAGTGTTTTTATCTTATCAGAATGCAGTGGGAATATGTCAGAAAAGTTATCTGGGAGTAGATAAGCTCAAAATTGAGCCAGATAAAGCCTTTTGTTCTCAAATATACATTCTGGCAAAGAGACAATGTTGGGAGGCATGCTGTGAGTGTAATTAATATTGTCCTGCACATTCTCATGGGTTAGTCTTTATTGTTTACCAGAGCTGATATATACAATTAGCTCATGCTATAACTTTCCACAAATTAGGAAATTGAGGCCCAAAGATGTTAAATGAGTGTCCCACAATCCAGACACTCTATGTGGCAAAGCCAAGCCAAGACGTCAGACTTCACCCACTTCGTGCCTATAGGATTAGTTTAGAAGCATAAATGAATGAAACAGGGAGTGGTGGAGACTCAGCCGACTGGAGAGTAGAGATGTTTCTTCAGTGACCAACATTCATCTTTATTTTATTTATCTTTTAATTTAATTTTCTTTTTTAGAGACAGGGTCTTGCTCTGTCATCCAGGCTGGAGTGCACTGGTGCAATTATGGGTCACTGCAGCCTCGAACTCCTGGGCTCAAGTGATGCTCCTGCCTCAGCTTCCCGAGTAGCTGGGACTATAGGCATGCACCAACCATGCCCAGCTAATTTTTAAATTTTTGCAGAAATGGGATCTTGCTATGTTGTCCAAGCTGGTCTCAAATTCCCGGGCTCAAGTGATCCTCCTGCCTTGGCCTCCCAAAATGCTGAGATTACAGGTGTGAACTGCCATGCTAGCCAGCCTCCTACATTCATTTTTATTCGCAGCACTTTGCAATCCAAATATGACAGGTCTGTAGCCTCAGCATCAAGCCAAGGCTTTTCACAGTGCCATGTTGGTTCCAATGCCATTTCTGTAACAATACAGTCCTCTTAGGTGTTCAGAAATGGCAAGAAACTCTGGGGCAAGTGTAGGAGGGGGTGGGAGAGGGGTCCTCTCACTTTTATAACAGCCTGGTCTAAGAGAACTCCTGAGGGAATGGAAGAGAGAAAGGAAGACTCTAAGAATAGAGTAACATTCAACTCCCTATTAATACATTTTTACTTCACTGCTTTGGTAAAGTCTTACCCAAGTTTCTGTAAAGGAACTTGATAATAAAGCCAGACAGAGATAAACTCAGGGAAAGGCAGCCTATAACCTGGCAGAATGTTTTTGGAACTTAAACCTCCAGGAGAAACTTCCCTCTGGGTGTGTCTTCTGAGCTCACAGTAGGCACCAAGTTCTCTTTTCTCCAGGGTTGGCTGCCTTCCAGCTCCTGGAAGTGAAATTTTAAAAACCAAATGGCTGAGCCCTTCAGTGGTGGCACAAGGGCATGTAGTAACAGCTGTGCTTGGCCTTCATGGGACAAGAAGCTTGCTTCTCACAACCAAAGAAAGCCCAGTGGGGCAAGCTCCCCTTCTGCCTCCAAGCAGGTAGCGTGAGGACAAGATAGGCACTAATACTGCGTGGGGAAAACAGCCAATACTAAGTGAGGCAGACTTAACTAAATACGGCTCAGTCAACCCATGGATACTAAAACAACTGTTTAAGATAGACACAGAGAGGTGCAGAAATCTATGACACAGTGAGTGAAAAAAGCAAGTTATAAAATAATGCATAGGGAAGAGGCTCATTTAAATATAAATACCATCCTTTCCATATATTTCTGGATATACCTAAATGGTGTATAGAAAAAAGGTTTAGAAGACCACAAACCAAATTAATAAGAGTTGTTATTTCTGAGAAGGTGTAGGAGTTTGGCTTTTTGGCTTGACTGCTTCTCCCTTTTGAGCAGGGCAGAGAATGCACTGGCAGGGCCCAGGGTTGGAGATGCATGAACAGACTTTCCACCCTGGTCTCAGAGAAGTGAGCACTTTGTAATTTCCTCCAAGGGTTCCCCTCCTCAGGTCGTGGTCCCACAAATAAGCTGATTAAGGCAGGGGTGAGTGTTTGCTGCATATCCAGTTGGACTTGAAGAAATTTTAGGAGAAAACCTACAGGAAGAAAGGGCCTTGGTTTTTGTCCATTAAAGGACTGAGAGTAAACAGACAGCAGGGCTGGAGAACAAAAGCCTCAAGGTAGGGTGATAGTGCCTCAGAGCCGCTAGGGGATAGAGTGAGGACTAGGTCAAGCTATCATCATAGTTATTAACAGTAGTTATTTCCAAGAAGGTGTAGGAGTTCGGTTAGTGGGAATGAATGAAGGAAACTTTTGCTTTTTATTATATCTATTTTTGTATTGGGTGTATCTTTTATATGCAAACATGTTCATGTATTACTTGCGTAATTAAAAAGCAAAACAAACAAAGCTAAAGTGAAGTTATTGCACCATTGAAGTTTTGGTGCTTGAACAACTCAGTGGTGTGTCAGGAACCCTTGAAGAAAATATGTTCCTCCCCGTGTTGAAACGGAGGGCTAACCAGATTGAGCCTGCCAAACTTCACCTGCCTTGCTTGCTGTAATTGATTACTTCTAGTCTTAAAACTCCCACTAGCTTCTTTATAGATAACATTTCTGGCTGTGGGTCATTGACTTAACAGGTGCTTATAGTTGTTTTTCAGGAACTGAGGGCAGCTCTTGTCCAGTTCAAGCTGGTTGAGACCACTGACCCTTCAACTAGGCCTGTGCAGGAACCCAAAAAGTGTCCTTTTGATGTCAGAGAGCCAAAAACTCCACCCTTAGATCATGCTAACGCTGCTATTTTCTGACCATGGGTCTTAAGAAGAGCCATGTAGCTTGATGATGCTTGCACAGAAACCCTGATTACCTCACCTTTCGTACCTGCCAGTTAACTTTCCCCATACTTTAGACCATGCTGCCTACTTTCCTATAAGTACCCCCGAGCCTTATTTCTGGAGAGGTGGATTTGAGATTTATTCTCCTGTCTCCTTGCTCTGCAGCCTTGTGAATAAAAAATATTTTCTCTTTTGCAAAACCTGTTGCTGCAGTGATTGGCTCACTGCATGCTGGCAGAACAAATCTGGTCCGTAACAATCTGTGACAGCAGTATGTGCACCTTCCCGTAGTATCACGGCTGTGTGCAAATCTTTCATAGCTCTTACCCATTCTAAGGCAAAGGTTTGTCTCTTTGCTGTGCTGTGAGTGTGTTGTGCCTCTGGCACATAGCACACAGTGCTCAGCATTGACTAAGGATGATTCAATGAGTGAACGACATGAAGCAATGCTTCAAGGACTGAGGGCTGAGAGCCACCAACCTCAAAAGGCTCTCTGTGATTGACAGCACATTGCCAAATTGTCACACCAAAGAGCCTTGTTTAAAATTTATCATTGCTTGGTATCTGGGCTCTTCAAACAAGATTTGATAGCCCTCTACCTTTCCATGTACTTAAAAATATATATGATCTGCAAAGGAAAGTATTCTTTCAAAAGGAATTCTCCTGGTTTCAAAGGCCTGGGCCTGTGGAGTTATCTTGGTATATCTTTTTATCTTTCACATTTTCCTATCTTATCTAGTACATCAGTGCATCCCTGTCTGTTTCTTTATTTCCATACTCTATGCCACTTCTCTCTCACTTTCTGCCCCATGGGTGACAAGGGTACCTCAATATTTATAGGTGGACAGAGCCCCAACCTATCCCCTCCAGTGGCGAACTGCCTCTCCTCCTACCCAGTGAGCTGGTGCACACACTCATTTTCTGTCTTCTATGAGGTGGAAACTTCTAAAAAGCCCTGTGCATATTAAGATGTGACCACCCCGGGGTACACCTGACCTCCCTCCCTGCTCATGTGCTTTCTGTCCACTGGAGGCAGCAGACGAACCTTCTGAAATGCAGCTTTGCTGTCCTGCATTTGCCCTCTGCCTGCCTGAACACTGATGTGAAGACACTGCAGGGTCCTTCATCTGTTTTTCTCCCAGCTGCACTCAACACCCACCATCCAACCACCTGAATGGCCAACACTATCATTCCTATTCCCTGTGCTTGGCACATGCTGCTTTCATCTATTAGAAAGCCCCTTGGTTCTCTCTCCATTTTCCTAAAGTCTTCCCTAATGCCGTCCTTCCACAGTGAGTTCTACCTCACAATCCTCACAGCCCAGGCTGACTGACTTTCAGGTGATGCAAACTGAGAGGACTTTATGGTCTGTCTGGGTAATTTAATGAGTGAAATTATCAGACATTACACAACAAGGAGGAGCTGGGACTATGCTCGGTGGAAAAGTGTGTGCCCTGGGTGAGGACTCTTAAATCCAAGTTCTTCTTAATGCCAACACTGCCTCGTGGAACACCAGTTTTCTTTGTGCATAAACGATTACCTGGAATCCTCAGCCAGGCACCATGGCTAATGCCTGTAATCCCAGCACTCTGGGGGGCCGAGGTGGGCAGATTGCTGGAGCCCTGAAGTTGGAGACCAGCCTGGGCAACATGGCAAAACCTCCTCTCTACTAAAAATACAAAAATTAGCTGGGTGTGGTGGTGTGTGCCTGTCATTCCAGCTACTCAGGAGGCTGAGGTACCAGAATTGCTTGAACCTGGGAGGTGGAGGTTGCAGTAAGCCAAGATCGTGCCACTGAACTCCAGTCTGGATGACAGAGAGAGACTCTGTCTCAAAAATAAAGAAAAAAAGAAATCTTCTGTGTTCTGTAACATTCCTTATGACATGTGTAAAATCCCTAATAGTCTGTGGTGTGCAGTTCTTTGTCAGCCCCCACAACATACAAAATATGGCAAAACACAAAATGCATGCTTAAAAAGTACTAGACAAACTAAACTGAAAATATTTTAATTCGGTACTTCTATTGAGTTAGCAAATAAATGACAATAGATTCTGAAAAAACCTGAAAATAAATCCAGTCATTCATTGATTCAAAACTGTTTACTGGCTGGGCACAGTGGCTCACGCCTGTAATCCCAGCACTTTGGGAGGCCGAGGTGGGTGGATCACCTGAGGTCAGGAGTTCGAGACCAGCCTGGCCAACATGGCAAAAATCCCTTTCTACTAAAAATACAAAAATTAGCTGCGCATGGTTGTGCATGCCTGTAATCCCAGCTACTTGGGAGGCTGAGGCAGGAGAATTGCTTGAACCCAGGAGATGGAGGTTGCAGTGAGCCGAGATCGCGCCACTGTACTGCAGCCTGGGCGAGACTCTGTCTCAAAACAACAGAGCAAGACTCTGTATCAAAACAAAACAACAGAGTGAGACTCTGTCTCAAAACAACAACAACAACAAAACTGTTTACTGAGTACCTTCTATCTGCAAATCACTGCTGTAGGTGCTGGAAATACAACGTACAGAAGAGAGAAATCCCCTGCATTCATGGAGCTTACATTCTCCTGGGAGGGAGGAATGAAAACACAAAGAAGTAAATATAGAAGAATATATCAGAATGAGGAGACTAAGCTGGAGGCAGGTGTGGAGGGGATGTTTTAGAAAGGGTCAAGAAAAGGACCCGTGAACAATGAATAAAGAAGGGCCATGTCACTATCTGAGGCAGGTGCAGTGCAGGCAGAAGAATGTTGTGCTAAAGTTTTGAGGCAGGGATAACCCTGGTGTGTGTGACCACTATCACCAAGGAAGCCCCATGGCTGTAACAGAGAGGGCAGAGGGAAATGAGCTGGGAGATGTGGATGAGGTTAGACCACCCGGGACTTCACATTTAAGGACCTTGAATTTGTTTCTGGGTGGGTTGAGAAGCCATTGGAGGGTTTTTTTTAACAGAAGAGTGATACAATTTGTTTTATGCTTTGAAAGGCTCACCAAAGCTGTTGTCTGATGAATGGAATGAAGAAAGCACAGTGCAGTGGGAGGATCCTAGGCTAAAGTCCAGTTTCCTTGGTCCCAGGCCTGGCTTGTTCACTAGCTTGGTTGGGTGATGTTGAACAGGACATTTAACTCTTGGCTTATTGGGTGTCGTTAGGCAGAACACTTAACTCTGGGCAGTTCTGTGCCCCTCTGTAAGTATGAAGGAGCAACCTCGGATTGTGGACCTTCGGATAATACCGGCTCCAACATTCTGAATCTTGGTATTGAACATTTAACCACACCTAACAGATACACCACCAGTGACAGCAACTATTTAATCATTGTCACAGATGGCTGGGCTGACATGTGGCATGAAAGACTTATGAAGGTTCTAAAGGTGGGCAAGAATGGTTTATTTTATATGACTCACTGTTAGAAGAGGAATCCCTTTCCCCATCCCTAGATGAGCATGGCACACACCAAAGGCTTGGAAGCAGTGGTGGTGGGGGTATTGCTGGTGGCCAGAAAGGCAGGCAGAAAAGGAGAGACACTTCCTCTTATCCACATCTTTGCCAAGCACCTGCCCTTCCTAGAAGTTCAAACAGGTCATGTCAGGTTTATAGCTCAGGCTCAAAGCTTTGAAAAGACTCAGCATACAATATGAAATGATCAGAGAGAGAGGCAATTTATTATACCTGGGGAAATTCAATTGCTAACGCCTGTCAGAAATTTATTCACATGTTGTCAAGGCAGGGACGATAAGTCAGAATTTGCTGCTCTGTGGACACAGCTAGGGGCATCTGTAAATCTCTACATGTCCTTCACACAGGCTTTCCATTTCCTGGCATCTCCAAGTGGATGCTTCTAAAACATCATCATCCTCCTGAACTGTCATGCATGTGAGGAGATTTTCTAGCAACAACAGCCAACCACTCTCTAGCTAGGGTAGGTATTTTCAGCCAAATAAATCTTTAATTATCTACAACAACATCCCAGCCAAGAATGCCCAGCAATCAGCCCGTGTGCAATTATTAATCATGTGTAATCAGGCTTATACTGTGCTATGTGAAGGATTTTGTAGGATTGAATGCACATAAATTATCCCTTTCCTCAAGGTAAATACATCTGTCTTTTCGATATTAGCATTCTGTCCATCAAAGGATGAATAAATATAGTTTTCTTTTAAAATACAGACATGTTCCACTAAAGCAAAAACAGTTGGATTTCTGCTTCAAAACCCAATAATAACTCCCAGTTGGCTATGGAGTAAGATCCAAAGTCCCAGGAATGTCACTCATAGCCCTTCATAGTCTCACCCAACATTCAGCCCCTGACTCATTTCTCCCGTTCCTCAGAATGCACCTTAAGCTTGAACTAAGCAAGACAGCTTGTTGTTTTCAAACACAGTTCTTGTGTAATACAGGATGGTCCTCTGATAGTAAGGAAATGAATGCAGCATACAGGGGTACATCCAGGTCCTGAGTTAGACATGAGCACTTCAAATGGGGAACTAATGCATACATTCATTCACTCATTTCTTCAATAATTTTATCAGGCACTGTGTTAGGATGGTATGATGGAAGGGTATGAACAAAAATGAGCAAGATATATCCTGATCTCAAGGAAATCACACTCCCTTTAGTGAAAACACACAATATTACTGATATTTGACTATTTTTGACATACAAGACAGGGTATATAGTTCAACCTAATAGTTATGCCTAATATCAACTATTGCCAGGTGATTTCTCAACTGAGGACCAGAAATTGTCCCTGCTTAGAATTAGAGAGCAACTGAAACTTCCCAAAGAGCAGTCCGAATCACAATGGGCTTATTGAGTTCCATATCACACACAGACAAACTCTTTACAGGACCAAGACATCACACTAACATGGACATGGAATTTACTAGTAATATAAGCACTGAGTTTTATAAAGTATGGGGAGGGGAAGAAAAGATCTGAGACTGTAGGTGATGTCATTGATAGGGCTCAAGGTTTATGACCTTTATATCCCCCAAATAAAAGCAAACATCTAAAGGGTGGGCACACTGAGGTCTGGGTACAAGGTAGCCCAATACAAATTACATCTCAAGATTGATTGCCATATTCGTGCAAATGCAAGCCAAAATAATAACATCCCAATCCATTCAGACAGAGGGAAATAAGGATCATAGCACAATGATTGGGGAATACTTATCTCCAAATCTGGCTGGGCAGAAATCCCAATAGGACTTAGGAAACAAAAACCAATTTTTGAAGGCCCAAGTTGATCATAAAGATCCAGGCATGGGTGATTTTTAATTATCATCAATAGGTGGGGAAATATCCATAGCTGCCTTCCTCTGTTCCACACAAATATATCTCATGGACACTGAAGCATTCCTCTGCCAAAGATTCATGGAGAGAAGCTAACAATTACCTTGGACCCAGCTTAGACATACCTTCAGTATAAGCACAAAATTGAGGCTCTTCTGCAAGACACAGCCAGAAACCCAGCATTTACTGGTGTTCTAGACTCTCCCTTCTAGGCTAACCTCCTTTCTTTCTGTATGGATTTGCCTATTTTAGACATTTCACATAAACAGAATCATACAATACACAGCCTTTTGTGTATGGCTTCTTTCACTTGTCATAATGCTTTCAGGATTCATCCATGTTAAAGCACACATCAGTACTTCATTCCTTTTAATGGTTGAATCCACTTCCACATGGGATTTAGGCTGACTGCAGAATATCCACTTCTAATGTGGCCCCTCAGTCCTTCTAATAGTGAAGAATCCCAAAAACAAATCCAGGGAGGTGCTCCAATCTGAAGATACTACAATACATCCAGTCAGTGTCAGGAACAACCAGATCCTGGTTGGGTAGTATGTCATTTCTGAAATCCACTTCCCACCTGACTTCTTTGATATTCTCTAGAAACATGATAACCCATTTTATACTTCAATAGAGCAGAACACCTGGAGTTGCGAGGGCTAAAAGGAGTCTGGAAGTGGGCAGTTCCATTCAGTCAATCAAGATCTTCTTTGCTAATTTTCCTGACATAAACAAACTTAAATATTCTCTAACATTTGTTTATAGCACATAATTACTTTGGAATAATTTCTTTAAAATATATGCATATATATGTATATAAATGACTTAATGCTGTGCATTTTAGGCTGCAAAAGTTAGTTGGTTCTGAGCTTGGAAAACATGTTGTTTTTCACTGTGCAGACTGGGCTTTTGAAATGGGTTGATTCAGTTGAGGATTTTATGTCTCATATTTGTTTGGCAACGTGCAAATAACTGAATGGGATTCACAGGTAGATATAATCCACACAGGCACATATAATATCTCCAAGATAAAAACTATTTGTAAATAACTTGCCCTCCTCTCTACACACAAAATTGTGTGTGTGTGTGTGTGTGTGTGTGTGTGTCTATTCCTTATCACCAACAGTGACCAACAATTAGAGAAAATGCCTCATGAGAATGATAATTGCTTGTTTAACAAATGTTGTTGGCCAGGCACGGTGGCTCACACCTGTAATCCCAGCACTTTGGCAGGCTGAGGCAGGCAGATCACCTGAGGTTGGGAGTTCAAGACCAGCCTGACCAACATGGAGAAACCCCATCTCTACTAAGAATACAAAAAATTAGCCGGGCATGGTGACATATGCCTGTAATCCCAGCTACTCAGGAGGCTGAGGCAGGAGAATCGCTTGAACCCAGGAGGCGGAGGTTGTGGTGAGCCGAGATCACGCCATTGCACTCCAGCCTGGGCAACAAGAGCGAAACTCCATCTCAAAAAAAAAAAAAAAGCCAAAACCAAAAACAAATGTTGTTTGTACTAGAAAGCTCATTGCCTCCTGCCTCACAATGCTTTTCCCACTCAAAGTGGTAAATTGACAGCAAGCTCAGAGTAGGCAGTGATTCTGATGACAAGACTGCAGTGCTTTGGGAACAAAATCTACATGAGTGAGACATTTCTAGGAAGTAGTCCAATGCTTATCCAGCCTTTCATAAGAAATGATTGGAGATCTGACAGCAGCCCCGCTTCATAAGCACTCTGGAATGAAGACATCGAGGGTGCAGAAGGTACTCAGAGAGAAAGCAGAGAAGCAGTCATTATTGAAGCCCTATGTGTATGATTCTGTGCAGAGATTGTGTATGATGTATATGGGTACTATAGAATGGAACAACTCAACAGAAAGCAGTCCAGGTCGAATGCCAATGCACAACAGAGCAATGTGTGTCAGAAAACAAAATGAAAAAACAAGATACTAAGAAGCATGAAGTAGCGCAGGTGATACGAAACCAGTATCTAAGAGTCTAAAGAAGAAAACAGCCACACCAGAATACTCTGACCTGATCCACTCTATCAAAGACTGCTTTGAGAATTAGCATGCTTGCTTTTCTTAAACCTTAATTAGCAGCAATTCTGCTAATCACTGGAGTTAGCTGCCAGTATAGTTGCAGTTTTGAAGACAACAGACTTCTGTGTGCCCCAAACCAACATTATCATTAACATGTCTTTGCCTAGAATTAAGAAAGAAAAATTAAGGAGGAAACAGAAAGAGGAAAAATGCCTTCTCTCTCTTATTCTCCTCCAGTATAACAGGTAATTGAGCAAAAATGAAATACTTAGATAAAATTCCAAAGGTTGCATAGCTCACAGTTAGGAAGCAAGGAAAGATTAAGTGGGATTGTGATATGGTTTGGTTGTGTCCCCACCCAAATCTCATCTTTAATTGCAGCTCCCATGTGGCTCCCATAATTCCCAGGTGTTGTAGGAGGGGCCCAATGGGAGATAACTGAATCATGGGGGCGGTTTCCCCCATACTGTTCTCCTGGTGGTGAATATGTCTCATGAGATCTGATGTTTTTATAAAGGGTTTTGCCTTTCGCTTGGCTCCAATTTTCTCTCTCGCCTGCTGCCATGATTGTGAGGCCTCCCCAGCCACATGAAACTGTGAGTCCATTAAACCTCTTTTTCTTTATAAATTACCCAGTCTTGGGTATGTCTTCATCAGCAGTGTGAAAACATACTAATACAAATAAGTTTGGTGGTCCCTGTGATACTACAGTGTCAACTATCACTGGCACAAATTTTACAAGAGGACTCCAGTTAACTCAGGTTTCCAGACACAGTCTTTACATAAATGACAAGGCAGCAACTTTGGGAATGAAAACAAGCAGAATGTAAAACCAAAAAACAAGCAAACACTCTTTATCACACTGCTCTGTCTAGGTTGAGAATTTTTGTGACATGGTTACAGTTAGCTTCAGGCAGGCAGCGAATTGAATTTGTGAAATCAAATAATGCATGATGTAGTGGCATTTACAGAGATTCCTCTTATTTATACATAAAGCCATTTGATGTACTTCTCCGAGAAGTTGTCTTGTTTATAAAATTACAGAGGAAACAGAGGAGATAACATGAACCGCAGAAAACTGATCTACAATTTGCCAAATTTTATAAGAACACTTCTGCTGGCAGACATGAATTATTATGGAATCTGTTTTGTATATTAATATAAAATTCAGTCCCTCTTTGACCTCAGTGAGTAAGTGCAGAAAGCATTGCTAGAAAAGATGCCAATTTGGGCTGGGCGCAGTGGCTCACGCCTGTAATTCCAGCACTTAGGGAGGCCGAGGTGGGTGGATCACGAGTTCAGGAGATCGAGACCATCCTGGCTAACATGGTGAAACCCTGTCTCTACTAAAAAAAAAAAAAAAAAAAAAAAAAAAAAAAATTAGCCAGGCATGGTGGCAGGCGCCTGTAGTCCCAGTTACTCTGAAGGCTGAGGCAGAAAAATGGCATGAACCTGGGAGGCGGAGCTTGCAGTGAGCCCAGATCGCGCCACTGCACTCCAGCCTGGGCAACAGAGTGAGACTCTGTGTCAAAGAAAAAAAAAAAGAAAGGTGCCAACTTACCAGCTTGCCCCAGGGGTCCACACCTGGAAGGCACACAAGCTTTGATGGAGTATTCTCTTTTACAGTGGACAAGACAGAAGCCCTGGTTAAAGGCATCAAGAAAAGGCAGTGTAAAGAAAAGCAAAGAATAGGGTTGAATAGGTAACTCCAGTCAGAGACAGGGCTCTGTGGTTATAATGGAAGGATATTCACCCCATCCACAGTGACCCACTGCTGCCCACTCAATCCCCTGCCTCCCGTAGCCCCTCCCCCAGGTCCTGACTCTGGGAAACAGGAACCAGCAGCTTGGATCAAGGGAGTACAAATTAGAACTCTGAGCTTATTTTCCAACAAAAACAATGTTTGCAATGATGAGATTCTCTAGTACTATTAGAACTAGCTCTCAGTTATTCGAAGATGAAACATGCTTTCATGAGTTGCGTGAGGATCTAACCTCCACCTATTGTATGGCATTAGATCTATGATAAAATGTGTTAGGAATTCCAACCATATTATAAATGGATGTTTGGCCTGTATGCCACTTGAAGATTGGCTGCAGCCTGTAATATTTTGACCGAGGCATGGGTTCATGTAGGATTCAAGAGCTTTGGGAAAGACTGAAGAGACTGAAGAAGGAAGACCAGGTGGGAGGCTATTATTGAATATATGGCAGTAGGAATGAGAAGCAAAGGAAATTTTTAAGAGGTCGCTAAGTTGGCCTGGGGCTGTATGGTTGAATAATTGTGGCAAGTAGGGAGGACAGAGAAGAAAAAGAATTAAATATTACTTTGAAGGGTTTTTTTTGCAATTTTTTATTGAGATAAAAATCCACATAACATAAAACTCACCATCTTAAAGTACACGATTCACTGGTTTGTAGAATATTCATGATGTGGTATACTCATCACCACTATCTTATTTGAAATATTTCCATTGACGCAGAAAGAAATCTTATACCTGTGAGTAACCATTCCTAGTTCCTTCCACTTCCCTTCCCTGGCAACCACTAACCTACTTTCTTTCTGTATGGATTTGTCTATTTTAGACACTTCATATAAATGGAATCGTACATTTTGTAGTTTTGTGTGTATGGCTTCTTTCACTTATCATAATGTTTTCAGGATTCATCCATGTTGAAGCATTCATCAGCACTTCATTCCTTTTAATGGGAAGCATTCATCAGCACTTCATTCCTTTTAATGGTTGCATAATATTCCATTGTATTAATATATCAAATTTGTTTATTCATTCATCAGTTGGGCTGTTTCCATATTTTAGCTATAATAATGAATAATGTGGTTAGGAACATTCATATGCATGTTTTTGTGTGAATATATGTTTTCTATTCTCTTGGGTATATACCTGAGGGGAATTGCTGGGTCCTATGGTAACTTCATAATTGAGGAACCACCTGTGATACTGTAATGTAATAAGAAATAATAATAATAAAAGGGCATGGAGCTTCCATGCCCTCCCAGGCACAGCAACCTCTCAGCACCTTGATTTGCTCACCAACCTGGAAGCTCCCCCAAACTCCAACTTTTTGGGTTTGAATGGAGGCTTCATTTTATAGGCAGGGGTGATTAAATCATTAGCCATGGGTGATTAAGTGAACGCTCAGCCTCTCCTCTCCCTGGAGGTCGGGGGTGGGGCTGAAAGTTCTATCCCTTTGATCACCTTGTTGATCACCTCCAGCAACCAGCCCTCACCCTCCAAGAGTCACCTCATTAGCACACACTCAGGTATTGATGAAAGGGGTTTTTTAAGAATAACAAAAGATGCTGTCTCACCCCATCACTCAAGAAATCTCTAGCGTTTTAGGAGCTCTGTTACAGAAACCAGAGACAAAAGCCAAATATATTGTGTCTTTTTATATCACACTATCACACTGTCAAACTGTTTTTTATAGTGGCTGCATCATTTTACTTTCTCACCAGCAATATATGAAGGTTCCGATTTCTCTATATCCTCGTTAATATTTCTTATTTTCAGTTTTTTAAAGAAAGTTTTATTCTAGTCATCATAAATGGGTGGAAAATGATATTTCATTGTGGTTTCAAATTGCATTTCCCTAATAATGAATGATGTTAGACATTTCATTGGTGATTATTGATCATTTGTGTATCTTCTTGAGATAAATGCTTACTTAAATCCTTTGCCCATTTTTCATTCATGACTTTTTTATTGTTGAGTTTTATTGTTGACTTTTTCATTGTATATTCTGAATGCTAAACTCAAAATATATAATTTGCAAAATCGTTGTGCCTTTCTGTAGGTTGTCTTTTTACTCTGAAGTCCAAAGTATCTGTTTTTCTTTAGTGGCTTGTGCTTTTTGTTTGATATTTAAGAAATTGATGCCTAATCTAAAATCATGAATATTTACTCCTATGTTTTCTTCTAAGAGCTTTACTGTTTTAGCTCTGACATTTAGGTCTTCAAAATAATGAAGTTAGACCCCTAATCTCACACCGTATAAAAAAAATAGACTCATGTCCCAGCACCATTTGTTGACAAGGTTACTTCCCCATTGAATAGTCTTGGTACCCTTGTTGAAAATCAACTGATTATTTATATATGGGTTTCTTTCTGAACTATGTCATTCTATTCCCTTGAACTATATGTCTATCCCTGTACCAGCAGCACACTGTCTTGATTACAGTTGCTTTGTAGTACCTTTTGAAATTGGAAAGTGCAAGTCTTCCAACTTTGTTCTTTCTCAAGATTATTTAGGCTTTTCAGTGTCCCTTGTTTTTCTATATGAATTTAGAACCGCTTTTGATTTTTTTCTGGAAAAGAGGCAGTTGAAATTTCAAGCTCTTTTAATTCTCTCTTTGCAGATCACAGTGTGGTGAGGGTGAAAGAACATTTAAATAAAAACAGAGACCTCAGTTCTGACCTGCAAGGTCAGTCATGTCCTTGTTCAGTGACTGCTTTTCCTTGTATAAAGTAAGATATTGAACTGGATAATTTTTAAGTTCCAGATCTGATTGTAACATCTTACAAAAAAAATTAGCCATAGAAAAGGACTTAATTGCCTATTTTGAGAGTCAGAAAGAGAACACAAAGCACAAAAGGGCTTAGAGTCCCAAGGAATCCAAGCATCTATTGGCCAGATACAGAAGAAAGGGCCTGCAAAGGAATCTGAGGCTTAGCTTTTAGAGAGGTCAAAGAAATCCAGGGACTTGTGGAAGGAGAGAAACCAATGGAGAGGATTCCTTCAGAAAGGAGCAAGGGGGATCAACAGGGCTGACTGTTGCGGAAGATGAGTTCACTGAAGACTGAAAAATGCCTATGGTTAAACTTAACATAGAGGTCTCTGGTGATCTTGGTGAAGTGAGATTTGGTGGAATAACATGCCCAGAAGCCAGCTGGAGTGGAATGAGGAATGAGTAGGAGGTGAGGAAATGGAGCAGTGAGTGTGGATAACTATTCTGAGAAAATTGGAGAGAAACAGTGGGTGCTGAAGGAGGAGGAGGAGGAAGAAGAGGAAGACAAATCTTTAAGAGAGGCAGTTTTTGTGTAGTTTTGATTTTTAATATGAGAAAGACTTAAGACCAATTTAAATGGTAGAGGAAAGGAACCTAAAGGAAAAAGATGAATGCACAGGGGCAGAGAGATGAAGGAGGCCACAAGACTTGTTGAAAGTTGGAAGGGGACAGGATTCAACCTGCAGGTGAAGGGACTGGCCTTAGTTGGAGGACATCTTCCTCTGCAGTAGGAGTCAAGGAGAGAATAGTGGGTGATGACAGAGGTTTGTAGACTCAGTGGTGGAGAGCTGAAGTAATTCCTCCCTGACATCTTTCATATTCTCTGGGGAGCAACCCTCAATGTCATCTGCTGGGAATAAAGTGTTCATGAAGACCCTTGGAGGTGGAGGGTGGAGGCTCCAGAGAAGAGGCACACAACTGAATTGAGAAACCCTGGAGGGTGCCAGGCAGCACTGCAGACTGTGTGAATTGAGAGGGGTCGCTGTTCACTGTGCTGTGAGATTTTTCTGGAGTTGAGCCCCACAGCTGAGGTGCAGGCTATGAGAACCCACCGCCTGCCCAAAGCTTACTGGATCTCTGAAGGGTGCCTGATCCGTGGTAGCCAACCTCCCAGTCAGCATGACACTGCACACCCACTGGTATGGTCAGGCTTTATGTCCCCACCCAAATCTTATCTTGAATTGTAATCCCCATAATCCCCACATGTCAAGGGAGAAACAAGGTGGAGGTAATTGAATCATGGGGGTGGTTTCCCCCATGCTGTTCTCATGATAGTGAGTTTTCAGGAGATCTAATGGTTTTATAAGGGGCTCTGCCCACTTCATTCAGCACTTCTCCTTCCTGCAGCCTTGTGAAAAAGGTGCCTTGCTTTCCCTTCACCTTCTGTCATGATTGTAAGTTTCCTGAGGCCTCTCCAGACATGTTGAACTGTGAGTCAATTAAACCTCTTTCTTGGCCGGGCGCGGTGGCTCACGCCTGTAATCCCAGCACTTTGGGAGGCCGAGGCGGGTGGATCATGAGGTCAGGAGATCGAGACCATCCTGGCTAACAAGGTGAAACCCCGTCTCTACTAAAAATACAAAAAATTAGCCGGGCGCGGTGGCGGGCGCCTGTAGTCCCAGCTACTGGGGAGGCTGAGGCAGGAGAATGGCGTGAACCCGGGAAGCGGAGCTTGCAGTGAGCCGAGATTGCGCCACTGCAGTCCGCAGTCCGGCCTGGGCGACAGAGCGAGACTCCGTCTCAAAAAAAAAAAAAAAAACAAAAAAAAAACCTCTTTCTTTTATAAATTATCCAGTCTCAGACTGTTCTTTTTAGCAGTGTGAAAATGGACTAATACACCCACCATTAGTAAGATGCTTTGGTAACTCACTGGCAACTCTGCATTTCCATTGCAGGACACACCCCTGCCAGGCTCTCTCCCCTTGGGTGGCACACTTTATCGACAGAAGAGAACTGCTAGGATTCTAGCTTTTTCTTTTAATTAATATTATTATTGTGGCTAGGCATGGTGGCTCATGCCTGTAATCCCAGCACTTTGGGAGGGCGAGGCTGGTGGATCACCTGAGGTCATGAGTTCGAGAACAGCCTGGCCAACATGGTGAAACCCCATCTCTACTAAAATACAAAAATTAGCAGGGCATGATGGCGGGCACCCATAATCCCAGCTACTTGGTAGGCTGAGGCAGAAGAATTGCTTGAACCTGGGAGGTGGAGGTTGCAGTGAGCCAAGTTTGTGCCACTGCACTCCAGCCTGGGCGACAGAGTGAGACTCCATCTCCAAAAAAAAAAAAAATTATTATGATGATTATTATTATTTTTGTAGAGAGAGACAGGGTCTCACTATGTTGCCCAGGTGGGTCTCAAACTCTTGGGCTCAAGTGATCCTCTCACCTCAGCCTCTTAAAATGTTGGGATTACAGGCATGAGCCACCACACCCAGCTACTACCTTTTTCTTTTAAAATATGCTTTCTGGGTTCCAAACTATCCTCTCAGAATTAATGGGGCTGTCACCTTGATAATACGTTTAAAATGTATTGGTACCACCTGGCAATACATGACAAAATTTCATAGCTTTTTAACTTTACCAAAGAAAAAAAACCGAGGAGTGAATTATTGCCATTATTACCTTTCCAATATTTCAACTGTAAAACAAAAAGTATCTGAGACAGGTCTCAATCATTTCAGAATTTTATTTTGCCAAGGTTAAGAACATACCCAGAAGAAAATAACATGGAATCACAGAAAACAGTCTGCGGTCTGTGCCTTTCTCCAAAGCTGAACTCCAGGGCTTCAATATTTAAATGGAAAAAGCAGTCTAGAGCAAAAAAGCGCGGGTGTGGTAATCCACAAGTTGCAGGAGAAAAGGAGCAGGTAGGGGAATAGTCAATTACTCAGTATATCAGCACTTTATGTAAGATAAGGTGAACACAGAGTAGCTACCTGTGGTGTTGTTTAACCTTTTATCTGTAGCTACCTGCTTAGGAACAAAAGGAAAGGCAGCTTCTTGCAAGACTCAGCTTCCAGCTTATTTTTTTCCTTTTGGCAGTGAATTGGGGTCTTTACTTTCCTTAACGTTCTCCAGATTTCACACCACTACCTAGATAATAAGCTATTTTATTTACTCCTGACTGCTCTACAGTGTGCATAGCTTGGTCCTCTTTTCTAACGACCTCAGTTGTTTCTCAGTGCGGAATGATTTGCTGAAAGTGCTTCCCACACATTTTATCTGGAATCTTCTCAAAATAACTATTCTTATTCTATCACTTTATCAGCACAATGTGCCTAGCCCACATGCTATTAGCTTGCACTAAAGACATGTTTCTTTGCAAATGCTCCCGTATTTTTGTACATATATTAAAATATATGCTCTTTCTAAGGCACAAGGCTGATGGAGACCACTTCCGTTGGCTCTCCCCATAATGAGGTGAAGGGCTTGGCATGCATGTGGGGTCGCCACTACTGTTGACTAGTAGTTTTCCTCTTACCAGTTTGTTTGTTTCCTTTGCTGAGATGTTTCTTCACCCAAGGTCCGTTTTTGGTTCATTATTTTGCCTAAATCATCTGTGTCCTTTGTTCTAACATGGAACATATGTCTCTCAGATTTATATCACTAACTTCTCAATTTCTCTTTCACTGTATGATTTCCACATTGTTAGTACTCTCTCATCGGTGTATCTCACTACCATGTAAAATTAAACTTTTCAGACTGAGTTCTTTATTTTCTCCTTGATTCCTAAGTCCTCATTGCCATAATTTTCCTTTGGTCCCAACATCAAAAAAACTCAGACGTCACAGCCCAAGCTCAGGCTCTTGATCAACGCCTTTAGTTGACTTTCCTTATTTCAGTCTCAGCTCCTCCCCAGACATCTCAAATGTGGTAAAAGCAGATTCTCATCAGTGTCACCTGGATTTCCTTTCTTCAATGCCAACAGTGGCTACCAGTTGCTTTTCCTACCAAATGAAAATAACATGCACTTGAAGTATTTTTGCCCTAACCTCACTCAGTTCCCACAAATTCCGCTCCACCCTCTCTACTTTGATTGCTTTCTGCAAACTTTCTGAACCTTCTCTATGCCTCTGAGAAAAGATCACCTTCTGCCTCTAAGAAATCATGAGCTTTGAAACCTTTAAAATTCCGCTTGAGCTCCACCCCTGCCTGTCTTGCCTTTTCTGACTGGGCCCCCTGGGGCTCCAGTGTCTGTAGAAGTCATCCTACCCTCCCCCACTTCATCTTTCCACCTACTTGGGCACTGAGAACTCATATATACATATCTGCATGGGTTGAGCTGTCATGGCTGTGGTTACAGATTTTGTCATTTGTGTTTTCAATATCTATGTCTATTTGCTAGTTGCCTCTTATACTTGACATACTCCTTTAGGGCAGCTGCTTGCTCTGGCATTGCTTTTAGAAGTGCCCAGTGTTCAATCATTGTTAACTGATGATGAAGTCAAAAGAGAAAGAAGTGGGTCCAGAAGAGATAATAGCAGGTAATGAAAAGAGAACAGGACCAGCAATCAGGATGGAAGCTTCTGCTACTGACCAGCCATGTGACCCGTGACCTTGACGTACATTTTAAAGGGAAAGCTGAAGGGAGTGTTTAACTTATGAAGAGTAGGATGACACCCGACACCTGTGAAAAGAAGGTAGTTTTCAGACCGTGAGACAAGAGGGACGTTTCTTAAAATGTAGCACCAAGCACATTAATAGAAAAACAGTAGAAGAATAGATGGAGAATTTTGCCACACTCAATATGGCTTCCAGGCCTGCCAGACCTAGCAGAAAAAGAAACTAAAGCTTGGACAATGATACACAATATAAAGACACTTAACACGATCGAATGCACACTTAAAAATGGCCCAGATGGTAAATTTTATGTTACAAATATTTTACCACATTTAATAATAAAAAAAGAAACTGAAGCAAGTACGACATCAAACTTGGGACTTTTTCCTGGGACACCCACAAGCAAATGGGAAAAATGAGGGAAAGAAGAGAAAAAAGTCCAGTGGTTTCACAGTTTATACTGGATTTTTATTTTATATGGACAATGAAATGAGTGGTATGTATCATATATTTATCATGTCGGAGGAAGTGATTTAAATTGATCTGATTCACAGAATTTCAGAATGATTTCCCAGTACCTTTGAAGGAACCGGGAGGTAGGTGACGGGTATCCTGATGGATAGGCTGAATGGTTTGTTCACAGTCTCCAACAGCAATGGCTGCTGCTTCTTTCCATGATGACTTTTGTGTTTCGATTATCCAGCTATGCAAGGTGCTTATGGAAGGACTCAAGAAATAGAAGATAGGGGACTGGGCATGGTGGTTCATGCCTGTAATCCTAGCACTTTGGAAGGCAAGGCAGGAGGATCTCTTGAGCCCAGGATTTCAGGACCAGTCTGTGTAACACAGTGCGATCCCATCTCTACAAAATTTTTTTTTAAATTAGCCAGACTTGGTGGCTCATGGCTATAGTTCCACATACATGGGAAGCTGAGGTGGGAGGATTGCTTGAGCCCAGGAGTTCAAGGCTGCAGTGTGCTATGATCACGTCACTGCATTCCAGCCTGGGTGACACAGCAAGACCCTATCTGTAAAATAAAAATCAAAAGGAAATAGAAGCTAGCATATCTGCCCATCTGACATTTGTGTTCTTGTGGGAAAGGTACAGACACATCCACACGGAACAGATGAGTCAATGGGATCACTTTGTACTGCCTCTGCAGCCACCTCCATCATCTCTCCACTGGGTTATCACAAACACCCTCGCCAGGTCTCCCAGTGCCCACGCCTGTCCTCCCACCATCTGCTTTGCCATATAACAACCAAAGTGATTCTTTTCAAACCTAAGTTAGTTCATGCCACTCCTCTAATCAAAGCCTTCCAGGGTCTTCCCATCTCTCCATGCCAAGCCAAGGTCCTTACAAGACCTCTGAGGCCTGGTGTGATGGGGACCCTTGCCCCCTTGCCCATGGGTCCTGCCACTCTTTGCTGACTCATAGGCCGCAGCCATTTTGGCTTCCTCCTGTTCCCCAAACACTTCAAGCATAGCCTCATTGCAAGGGGTTGCATTGGCTTTCTTTTCTGCCTGGAACACCGTTCTTCCCGAGATCCACAGCCCCCCACCCCTTTCTCTGTTCAATTATCTTCACATCAGAGATACTTCCCCGGTCACCGCATAGAAAATGGCAAGTTCTCCTGTCTGTCCCAGGCCCTCCTGGCTTAATTTTTCTCCATCGTATTAAACGCTACCTAACATGTTACATATTTAATTGTATATTTGCTTCATGTCTCTCTCTTTCTACCAAGGAGGGCCAGGGTTTTGTTTTGTTCACTGCATTATCTCCATCAGTGTCTGATGAGTGCTCAGGAAGTATCTGTTGAGTGAATTAAGGGCCCAATGACTGGCACAGGCAATTGTCACTAACAGAAAATTATGTTTGCATCTGAATAAAGGCAGAAAGAAACATATGACCATAGCAAGTGCCTTTTATTAAGTGCAACCTTCTTCACAGATAAATAAATGTAAACCCAGGGCACAGCTACTTAGACAAGACAGAAAAATATCCAAAATAAACCAGCACTGTTAGGATTGTCCTATTCTTCTAGAAATCCTTGGAGTTAGCAACAGCACATAAAGCAGTCATGCTGCCTACAATATCTACTGTTGTTGAATTAATTTCAGTAGTCACTTACATAAATCTGACTCTAAAAACAGTTATTTCCACTCAGCTACATTGTCATAAGTTCTCTCATTCCCAATTCAAGCAACCACACTCATGAGTCCCCTGATTCCTTTTTCTGTCCAGGCCAGTAAATGGTGCCAATTGTGCCCTGTGGGATATAATGAAACTTTATTGACAAGGGATAGTGGAGTTTCTTAACTCCCATAACTTCAACAACTAGCCAACAATTTGGGGAGTAGAAAGGGTGGTCCTTGGCCATTAATTACATCTTAACGAGGCATGCCAATAGGAGGTACGGAGTTTGGGAGGAGCTGTTATTAATAGGTTTGTAGGTGGAAATTAGACACCTTTTGAAGCATTCTGCTGCTTTCTTCCCAAGGCCTCACTTCTTCAATGACAAATTGCATGTTCATAGATCTGAATAACATGGAATGTTCATTAAATATTCCTAAAAATGTTATTTGTTGTAACTTTCATGGTGAGAGCCTACTAAACTGATAATTTCTGTTTAACCCATTAATGCTCTACTCCTATCAGAGGTGAGAGAAATGGCAAAGATTTGGAAACACATGAATTTGGTCACGTAAGGACTGTCCACCCACCCATTAACTTACAGGCTCTCTGCCAGGGGTGGAGGACCCAGCAGGAGTGACAAGAACGTCGTCTTTGCTCTAATGAAACCAGGATGGGAACAAGCTTTCTGAAAATGGTTCTAAAAGAAGCACCATGATGATGGAGCTGTTTTACCATTTTACTCTCTGGAGAGTCCCAAGGACTTTGAACAGTGCCTGGCCCATAGTTTCTCAGTAAGTAATTGTCAAGGAAATAAAGAAAGCATTTGACTAGCACCTGACCCCCAGCAGGTACTCATGTGTTGTAGCGATATTATTGATAGATTCTTGACTTGCCAGGTCCCTAGACTCTGCCGGGTCTGCTCTTGGGTCCTCTCCACACATAGGGCCAGAGGAGGGACAACTCCTTTGAAAGGTATACAGTCTCTTCACTGTATACCTAACAAGACAGACTTTCTCTGATAGAGTCGTGAGGCTCTGTCGGCTGCCTGGAGGCAGGGCTTCAGGTGAGACGGGATTGCTCTGCATCTATTTCCTCATCTCCCAAAATGGGAGTTGAGGGTAAGCTCTCAGATTCTTCCTAGTTCTAACAGTCTCCAATTGTAACTCTGCACAAATCTAGAAGGTTGAGAGGAGCATTAATTATTTATTTTAAGGAGGCCATCATACAAAATTACTAAAATGAACTGATATGTTATGGGGTGGCATAAAAATATGTCAATTATAACCTTACAAAAAAAAACTGCAGGAAATAGACAAATTCTTAAAATATGGAAAAACAGAAAAAGATGTTAACTAATATGAATTGTTAGAACAATTCTATGAACCTGATGAGATTAAAAAACAATAATACACATGGAAACTATCTATAAAGGTAATTAAAAACAAATTGCGGACACACCCAACATTCTGTTAGATTTGTCTATGGGACAGAGGCATAATATGGCTATGGTCACCATATTTGCTAAACTGGAAATTAGTCAAGGTGACCTGAAACCAGGATAAAAATACTTGGAATACATACTTTAAAAAATCAAGACTATTTGGTTGGTATACGCATAAATAAATTCCTCCATGTATAGGAAAAGTAAATTATTTAAAAGCCTACTGGGAAATGAAGGCATAAAAACCATGTTTTCTATTTTGATGTGCTGTGCTTTCATGTCAGCATTAATGAAGTAATTGGCCAGGCAGCCTGCAGGCTTCATCATATTCACCCACTAGAGCCAGCAGGTAGGCCTTCCAGGAACCTGCTGTATGAAGGAAGGTCAGAACCTTCTGGGGAATGCATGAGATCTCATCTTCACACCAGAGGATGCTGTGTTTGTACAGGGCTCTAAGGAGCAAGGTCAGTTTAGAATGGGCAGAAAGGATGGCCTTGAATCCCGCAGAGTATGTGCTGCTCAGGCTTCTTTGGCTCTGCACGTTCTTTCCAGCCATTTAAACCAACTTCCTGGTGGAGGAGGTGGTTGGAAGAAGATTTGGGTTTGAAAGCTCTGTATGAGATTAGAGCACAAGGTGGTGCTGTCTCCATTCCTGTATAACCAAGGCCAGCTCAAGTAAGAATGAAGGGTATCCTCCAGGCACACAGAAGCTGGCAGCCAGAATGTAGCACAGTCTGGGCAGTACGAGACTGGTGGCAATGAAATCAAGACACAACTGAGCATGGTGCCCATCAGGGACAAGGGGAGAATGTCTGAGCTACAGGAAGAGCAACAGAAATGGCAGGCAAATGCAAGACTGTGTTAAGAGTGCCGGGGTGGTAGCCAAGAGAGGACTACCTCAGGGACTTTGGGACCCCTGTTCTGAGGACCCTGGGGGAGGCTGGGCTCCCATGAGCCTGTGAGTGAGGCCTAAGAAGACTCGTAAGTTCTGGCAACTTGTTCTCCACCTTTTGGCTCTTAGCACTGCAGACAGAGAGATGCTTTCAAAATATAAATCTCAGCCGGGTGCGGTGGCTCATGCCGGTAATCCCAGTACTTTGGGAGGCTGAGGCGGGTGGATCATGAGATCAGAAGATCAAGACCATCCTGGCTAACACGGTGAAACTCCGTCTCTACTGAAAATATAAAGTTAGCCAGGTGTGGTGGCACATGCCTGTAGTCCCAGCTACTTAGGAGGCTGAGCCAGGAGAATCACTTGAACCTGGGAGGTGGAGGTTGCAATGAGCTGAGATTGCACCACTGCACTCCAGCCTGGGTGACAGAGCAAGACTCCCTCTCAAAAAAAAAAAAATGTATTTTATATATATATTATATATTTTTATATAAAATTATATATAATATAATATATAAATATGTATTTATATATAAAATTTTATATATTATATTATATATTATTGTCTATAAATATATTATATATTATATATTTTATATACAAAAATATACAATATATTATAATATAATATATAATATATATTGCATATAATATATATTATAATATATATTATATATAAAATTATATAATTTTATATATTATATATAGTAAAATTATATAATTTTATATATTATATGTAGTAAAATTATATAATTTTATATATTATATGTAGTAAAATTATATAATTTTATATATAATATATTACATATAAAAATATATATAATATATAAATATAAAAAATATGTAAAATATATATAAATATGCCATATATATATATATATATATATATATATATATAATGTCTCAAATCTTATCCTGTCACTCCTCTGCTTGGACATTTCTTTATTCCTGTCTCACAAGGAACAAAAGCCAAGCATTTACAGCGGTCTGCAAGGCCTACGTGGTCTGCACTCTTGCCTCTTACTGCATGCACACATGCACACACACATGCTTGCTCACACACACACCTCTCTGACTCCCAGATTACTGGCTATTCCTGCTCCTACTGTACTTTGTTCCTACTTCTATTATAGTTCCTATTTGTGCCTACTTCTGTTTCAGGGACAGCAATTATGGGTTCTATGATGGCTTCTCTCATAGCTAAGGCATGGTGGCACGCGCCTGTAGTCCCAGCTACTTGGGAGGCTGAGCTGCTTCTTGTAGCTGTTAGCATGTGAGTCTTCTGTTACAGACTGTGAATCAGATGAGAGTCAGGGCTAACTTACCTTTGCACCTTTCACAGCACCCTTGACTGCATCTGGCTGACAGCAGTTGTTGAAGTTTTCTTAATACAGGAGTTTCAAGAGGAAGCCATAAACCAAAAGGCAGGGACAGAGTGCATTCACTATTTCTGAAAGTTTGAGGTGCGTGGAATTTTTCGCATTGAATCCCACGTTTACAGTCACTTTCTTAACACATTTAGAGACACTTCATTTTCATTTCTGATGGAGTTTCGGTTGGCAGAGGCTCCTAACACTTTTAAGCTTATCTGTCTCCCTTCCAATCTCATAAGTGGTTCATTATCCTTAAATTGCTTAAACATCTCTAGGAGAGCCATGAGGTTTTCATAATGTGAGTAAATGGCATTTAGTTGGAAGGCTCTCGGTTACCTGAAACCAAGCCCAGAATTTTGGAATAAGTAAAGCCCACCTCTGGAGGCCAAACAGATATTTCAGAGGTCTTCACCAAACCCAGCTACTTTATTTGAAGGTAAATGGCAGAGGCCTTGTGCATGAATTACCCTTTCCTGTGTAACAAATCACCACCACCATGACCCATGACCCCTTCATTTGCTCCTCACTCTGTGAATGAACAATCAGGACTGGACTCAGTCAAGCAGTTCTGCTGGTTTTGCCAGGGGTCATGCATGCAGCTGCAGTCATCTGGAGGCTCAGCTCGGGCTAGGTGGTATCAAATGTCCTCACTCACATGTGTGGTGGTGCTGGCTATTGGCTGGGACTCTCTTTGCCACGTGATTTCTTATCCTCCAGGAGGACAACCCAAGCTTCTTCGCCAGGTAGTCTCAGGGTTCTGAGAAAAGAAGCTGTAAGGCCCCCAGATTTCAGGGCTCAAAAGTTGCTTCTTAGGCTAAGCAAGTCAGCTGATCAAGCCCAGAGTCAGAGTCAAGAAGACCACTCACGGATGCGGACATAAGGAGAGGATATGCGGAGGTCATGCTGCAAATGATCCACCACACCCTTGCTCAGAGACCACGGACCGGTGTTTGATATTTTCTAATAAAATTTTTATTTGGCTTTTTAGCCCATGGGATATTATCCTAATATAGTAAGTTAGAATTGTCAATAGACATTGGTTACTAGAGGCGAGTATGCTAAAGGTAGCGACAATAGCCGTTGAAATCTTCAGAAATAGGAAAATAATTGAGGCAAATATAAACCCCTAAGTTGAGATCTCAAAAAGCCTCAAATCAGTTGTCATTTGCAGTGTGTAGGTAGAAAAAAAAATCACAATTGCCTCTGCAATATACTTATGTCCTTATTAAAATGGGATATAACAAATGATGATTGTGGTGATAAACTTTGACAAATCAGAACTAAGAAAGCAGAGTAGAACAGTACACATTTAAGAAAGTTATTTATTATAAGAGTTATTTGTAAAAATGTTTGATCCTTTAAGTGACTAGCTTTATTCATACGCAAATGAAGTCATGGAATTATGTATTCCCTAATGAACTGCAGAAAGTGGGTACAAAAACAGCTTGCAATAACAGAGATTTTAATATAATTGTGTGTGTGTGTGTGTGTGTGTGTGTGTGTGTGTGTGTGTGTGTGGGAGAGAGAGGGACAGAGACAGAGAGAGACAAAGGGAGAGAAAGAGAGAGAGAGAGGGAAGGAAAGAGAGAGAGAGGGAGAGAAAGAGAGAGAAAGGGAGGGAGGGAAAGAGAGAGAGAGACAGAGAGAGAGGTTGGCTTCTATTCTTTGCCCTCGTCCAACTTCTATTTGAGAAGTAGGGCAGGGGCAACCCTTTTTATCTTTGGGAAGGAGAAGGTAGTGGGAAGTGAAGAGGAAGAGACCAGGAGCATAATGGAAGGCAACCCTATTTCCATAGGTAAGAAGCACATGGCCTTCCTGGCGTCCTCCCATTCCTACCTCCATGGATTGCTTAAAAACCATGAGGAAACCTGGACTCACCGCTGCAGCCTGGAGTTCCAGCTAACCACCCTGGTGGGATCCAGAAACAGCAATGAGGCCAGCGTAGTTGGGGCAGAATGAGCAAGGAGAAAGTGGTACTAGATGAGGCCAGAGAGGTGGGGAGGATGTGGGGGAAGAGAAGATCTGAGGGCCTTGGAGATTTCTCCTGGGAGTAAGATGGGAATCGCTATAGCAGAGGAGGGACCTCACCTGACTTCAGCTGCTGTGCTGACAAAAGGCTTGAGCAACGGGCAGCCAAAGAAAAAAACCACGGTCCTAGTAACTCAGTGCTTCTCTTCATCAGTCTTCACAAAAAGAACTGTGGAAACTGGAATTCCTTGGAATTCCTAATATAATAATGATAATTATTTTTTCTCCAGCGAGCTACTGGACCCCAAACCATTCCCATTGATACGGATACCAGAGCAGAATCGTGCCACCAGGTGGCGCCAAGATGCAACCGGGATGGAACCGATTTGGCTCTTGCCTCCGGACCAGCGAAGGGCCCTCAAGTCATTCACTGACCTCACGACAACGTCACCCCGTGTTTAACGCAACTGAAATTTCTGGACCTCATGTATGGCAAGTTTTTACTGTATTAGTTTATTGTTTTAATCCTAATTGTAATTCATTTTATTTTCTTAAATGGAAGTACACTCATCTAAACTCGTTCTAGAAAAATAGTTAATTTTGTAAATAAATGTTGTGCTCATATAGTTTCAAGAAATTACTGTGGTTAAGGTGTAGTCAACCAAGAAATGTTTTATTTTCAAAAGGTCATACATACTGTTTTTAAGTCTTTACTAACATCACATGCCCACCAAAGTGGGACATGATCTATTTTTCTCATAGCGCTCGTGGCAGACTCATATATTGTGATATAGAAATTTTATTTTAAACACAACAATAGTAAAAGGATATATGTATAAAAGTAAATCTTGTATTCTTAAGTCCTAAATCTCCCTAGACCTGAAAACAAAAATGTCAAACCAGAAGCCAATTTATTTTAAAAAATAAGAGTTTGGGCCTGGCGCGGTGGCTCACGCCTGTAATACCAGCACTTTGGGAGGCTGAGGTGGGCGAGTCACGAGATCAGGAAGTCCAGAACAGCCTGGCTAACACGGTGAAACCGCGTTTCTACTAAAAAATACAAAAAATTAGCCGGGCGTGGTGGCACGCGTCTGTAGTCCCAGCTACTCAGGAGGCTGAGGCAGGAGAATCCCTTGAACCCAGGAGGCCGAAGTTGCAGTAAGCCGAGATTGTGCTACTGCACTCCAGTCTGGAGACAGAGCGAGACTTTGTCTCAAAAAAAAAAAAAGTGTTTGATCAGTAGATCTCACATCACTTTTCACAGTCTCCCTTTCCACACTTAGAACCATGAGCACTGTAAGCATACAGTAAAAACTTCCCAGATGCACACCAACTGTTCTTTCTCTTATCATAGTCATGCTCCATGTTTTGTTATAACCAGGTTACTTAAGGCAACTGGCACTATTTTTCGCTGTCTTCTTTTTACCTCTTATAAAAGAAAATAGTCTTCAGTACTTTGATCATGACCCTTCAGAATATCCTATTCTGGCCGGCTTTCAATATCTGCTTCCTATACAGACAGGTGTAAATGCACTAGAGTTCCTTACTTTCCTGGGTTGCTGTTAGAGGATAAGAAACTTTAGTAACAATTTATGGCCCTAGGTACTATGATGCCTGAACTACCTCTGGTCTACCCTGGGATCTATTTGAACGCAGTGTTCTAAGGCAGTTAAATCAAACAATTATCATGTTTTAACTTGATTTAATAGCACACATTAAAATCCTGCGGAATTAATTACATAAAATGAGCACAATTAGCCACAGCACAACAACTATAAAGAAAGAGATTGCATGTGATTGTGTCAGGGTGAGCCACAGGACCCTGGGGGTAGCATCTCCAGTTGTGTTATGTGACAGCCGAAACCTGCTGGAGGAAAACATCTAGGAAAACATCTTGCTTACAGAGTTGGAGTGGAATTCTGGTGACTCCACTGAATCCTAAAAAGAATGGTAAAAGGTTTTAGAGGAATTTTCTATAACCCTGATAAATAAATGAAAATTATAATAAGATATATTTTGGTCTCTTAAATATTAAATTAACCATAGAATAAAGTCCTTCTTATTCTAACATTTGGAGATCAAAAGCCTAGCAGCCCATTTCCCAGTCAAAAGGATCACACGCAAGACACATAGCTGGAAAACAGAAAAATAAATTCAAGGGAAACACACAGTCCTTTCTCAGATGTGATCAAGGATCACAAGGCAATGGAGGGGATCTAGGGCTATGAAAGCAAAAGTATAAAACAGACAAAGGAAACAGTCCCCCCCACCAAAAAATCCAAATGTTTAGATATCTACTTCCAGCATGACACCAGGAGGGGCTCCACAGACATGCTTCCCAGTGAAAATGGTGAAATTATAAAAACAAACAGTTCAGTGAGATGGAGATTTCATTCCAGGTGCAGTTAACAATACAGGACTATCTGGACCCTCAGATCCCACATGTAGGACTATCTTCACAGAAGAAGCGGCCATTGGCAGGTCTCAGATCGTTCCTAGCTACCTGTTGATGAGGCCAAGTTCTAGGTGAATGCCAAAAAGTGGATGCTCCCTTTTTCTGCCTAGTCCTCCATGCTGGGATTGTGGCAGGCTGGGTCTCAGTAATTCAGGCCTCCATAACAACTGTTTCAGTATTGACTGAGTGGTTAAGTTAAATATTAAAAGCTAAACAAAAGCCAGTGCCCTTATACCAAGGCTGAAATATGACAAAAGCCCACCAAGAGTTTTGCCTAGGTCTTTCCTAGGCCTTAAAACATGACAAAATAACAAAGGAATTGTTAACAGGACCCATTTAGGATTAAACAAGTTTTATTGGGGGGATCTGAAGAAACTCCCCAGGCCTCCATAAACAAGCTTATTGGAGGTCTGAAGGAACTCCCCAAACCTCTGTAGTTTAGCAGGAGACAAGATAGGGGTAATCACCCCAGCACCTGTACCCATTTAGATTAAGTAAATTTACTGAGGCTCCAGAGGAAGGTCTTCAGGACTCAGACCTTAGTTATAGATTAAAAGAAGTTAATCACTTATGTCTTTAGATGCATTCACACTTACACATAGACATATAGCTTAGAAGGTATATAAGCTCTGGAAATTTTTGTAATTTTGAGTTGGTCTGGTGATAATTTCCAGGCCTTCTGTAACTGGTTGCAGAAATAAAAGCTCTCTTCCTCCCCAGTTCATCTGTAACTCCTCACTGGGCCATGAGAAAGAGCAGCCCAACCCTCAATTTGGTCCGGGAACAGGACGGAGGCTCTACTTTGGGCAGGACACTAATAGGAATCCTAGGACCCTGATGGTGCTTGCTCTTGCTCAGATCCTGAAGTGGGGGTTAAACTCAGAGAGAAGCATGTCATTTTCTCCACACACAGAACCTTGATTAAGAGATTTTGCTAGGCCGGGCATGGTGGCTCACACCTGTAATCCCAGCACTTTGGGAGGCCGAGGCGGGCGGATCACAAGGTCAGGAGTTCG